>NC_000002.12:83528392-83833775 GCF_000001405.40 Homo sapiens | reverse complement strand
AAAAACTCCTATTCCAGAATAAATATACAGACGTATATACATTTAATAAATAATTTAAGAAATTAGAAACAATAATAAAACAATGTTCAATCTCTAACTTGTATCATCATCCCCCTTAAAATGCATTTTACTGACTTTCTAGATAAAAGATAGCTACATTGTAGTTTTTAAGAGTTACATATAATGCTATTGGGGGAAAAAACCCCAGAATTAACCACACTTCTCTTAAAAACTTGGCATATTTTGATGAGTGTGTATATATATACATACACACACACATATATGTGTATATATGTATATATATGTATATGTGTATGTATATGTGTATATATATGTATATATATGTATATGTGTACGTATATGTATATAGGTATATATATGTGTGTGTATGTGTATATATATATATATATGGTAAATTCCCAGCAATAGATTTCCTAAGTCAGAAAGTATGATCAGATATGTGCATAGGCAACAAAAGAAAAAACAGACAAATGGGATTGCATCAAACTAAAAAACTTATGCACAGCATAAGAAACAGTGAAGTGAAGAGACAATCTACAAAGTGGGAGAAGATATTTAGGAACCATACATTTGATAAAGGGTTAAAATTCAAAATACATAGGGAATTCAAACAACTCAAAAGCAAGAAAACAAATAAACTGATTTAGAAATGGGCAAAGAACCTGAAAATAAATTTCCCAAAACATACCAATGGCTCATAGGTATTTAAAAAAAAATGCTGAACATAATCACCAGGCAAATGCAAATTAAGACCACAATGAGATGTCACCTCACAGCTGTTAGGATTGCTATTATCAAAGAGACAAGAGATAACAAATGTTTCTGAGGATGTGGAGAAAAGGAAACCCTTGTAACACAGTTGGTAAGAATGTAAATTAGCATAAAAACTATGAAAACAAGTATGGAGGTTCCTCAAAAAATTAAAAATAAAACTACCATATGATCAGGCAATTTAACTTGTAGGTATATATCTAAAGAAAATGAAATCTGAATGTGAAAGACATATAGTATGTGCACTACTATGTCTATTGTAGCATTATTCACAAAAACCAAAATACAGAATCAACCCATGTGCCTATCAATGGATGAATGGAAAAAGAAATGTGGTATTTATACACAATGGAATGGTATTAAGTATTAAAAAATAAAGAAATCCTATCATTTGTGATGAGATGATGTGGATGATCCCAGAGGACATGCTAAGTGAAGTAAACCAGACACAGAAAGACAAACACTGCATAATCTCACTTACGGAGATTATGGAATCTAAAAAAAGTCATAGAAGCAGAGAGTAGTAGAATGTTACCAGGGGCTGGATGGAGATTGAGAGGTGGGCGCGTGTTGGTCAAAGGAAGCAAAATTTGTTAGGTAGAAAGAATAATTCCAAAGATCTATCGCAGAGCATGGTGATTACAGTTAATAACTGTATTGTATACTGTACTTGGAAATCAGTAAGAGAGTAGATTTTAAATGTTCTCACCACAATAAATGGTAAGTATGTGAGGTAATACATATTATAATTAGCTTGATTGAGCCATTGCACAATGTATACATATATTAAAACCTCATGTTCTACACTGTAAATATATAGAAGTTTTATTGGTCTATTAAAAAATAATTTGCTTAGTTGGATTCTTTTTATATCAATTATGTTTAATATGCAATTTTAATCTTTCTATGTTCATTGCAATAAATTATATATTTGCTCCAAAGAAAAATGAAATAAAGTAGATGGAAAATTGGTTTAAAAAAATAAAACCTCATGCAAAAAAAATTTTATCAGACTCTAAAAATTGTACTCCTAAAAGGCTACACCCATTTATATACCAACAAAAATATATGAGAGTGCCAACTCTTCTTGTCATCACATTTTCAGGCAGGCATTATGAAACCAGCAAGCATTCAGCAAAGATGTTGAAAGTGTCAAGAAAGCAGGGCACAGGAGAACAGACTGATTAGGCAGGGCTGCTGATTCTCATGTAAAAAAGTGAAAATTAATTAATTTCCATTGAAGCTTAAATGAATTCTGGTCAGTTCTACTTAATCTTCCCAGTGTACTTATATTTCAGGAGAAAATTATTTTAACATGGTGTTTTTTCTAATTTTGGGATTTTAGGTGGTGTAGGAAATTATTAAATACAGCCAAAATTGAAAACACAGAGTCGTCAGGATCTTTGATTCACAGAGTTTAAGGCTCTACCACATTCATCTGGCAACAACTCCCTTCTCTGGTCTAATACTTTCCCCTGTTTTGAAAGGCAAGTATTTTCAAAAAGGGAAAAAGAGGCCAGGTGAGGTGGCTCACACCTGTAATCCCAGCACTTTGGGAGGCCGAGGTGGGTGGATCACCTGAGGTCAGGAGTTCGAGACCAGCCTGGCCAACATGGTGAAACCCCGTCTCTACTAAAAATACAAAAACTAGCCGAGCATGGTGGTAGGCCCGAGCATGGTGGCAGGCAGTTGTAATCCCAGCTACTTGGGAGGCTGAAGCAGGAGAACCGCTTGAACCCAGGAGACAGAGGTTGCAGTGAGCCAAGATCGCACCTTTGCACTCCAGCCTGGGCAAGCAAGACTCCGTCTCAAAAAGAAAAAAAAAAAGAAAAGTATCAGTGATTTATACTGTACAGCACATTAGTTGGCCACTTTGTCTCCTAACAAGTTTTGACAAATATATCAGAAAAAGAAAGCTCCATTATGTGTATATGGGGGTGGGTGGGGGAGGGTAGGGAGGTGCAGAAAAGAAAAAACAGTGCTCTATTCCTGCTTTTTACTGCTTTAAGAAAGAAACTGGATTGACCTTGGAGCGATCATTTTGGGGGAAGAGAAGGCATTATACAGCCAGGAAACAGCCTATGGGGGATGAGAACTGCCTCAAGAATGAAGTTGAGGCAGTTGGGTTTCACAGTACAGGACTACGAAAACCACTCAAAGAGAAGCACACAGACTTTATGAATACACAAGTGCTTCCAGAGCTCATACTACTGCCCAGTCTTTTTTCTTCTTTCTTCCTTCCTTTCTTCATCTCTTCCTCTCTCTCTTTGTTAATTAGTTAAATCCTATCTGCACAATAACACATTTCCCCAGAGCAAGAGGCCAGAAACAGGCCCTCTAATAACTCTTCTTCTCTAAGTCCTAAGGATGTGTTTGTCCCTCTAACTGCTTTCTACTCTACTGATTTCCACTTCAAATGCTCTTTCCACATCCCAACTATAATGTGTATATATTGGCTCGAAATCCTCAAATTACTCCACTTTTTCTTTTCTTGACTTCTGAGAAATGGTTCTTCCCTTATTTTATTCATGAGATTCTAGTGGGCCATTTCATATGCCTACATAATTCTACTTCCTTATCTCAACTTTATTTATGTAAAGGGTGCATATGAATTGAGGTTGGCCAAGCAGAGTTCTTCTCTGATGCTTTTTCAGACTGGACTACTAAGGATATACTTGCATAGGAGCAACGGGAGGGTCCAAAATGCTAAAGACTGAACATTTCACCTGAATCATTCAAGTAAAGACTTAGTGTCAAAGAAACAAGATCCAGTTTTTCCTCCTGTCATTTTTCAATGGAGGTTAGGGATCTTATTGTAGAGGTCAAATCAATATGATAGAAATAAATAGGTCATACCTTCATTGAACATCTGAGCATAGCAAAAGTCAAACTTACAGCCCATAACAGTATCATGTAATCGAATAATTCTGACTCATGGTGATATAAACATTCTAAATTCTCAAAAGTGGCATTGCAAATGTTCATTAAAAATATAGGCATAAACAAGCTAGATGTTCTTCCTTAGCAAATTTTCAAACAGCCATAAATACCAGTGAAAATAAAGGGAAGAAAAAAAGAAACAACTATCATAAAGTAAACTTTAGGAAATTCACCTTTGATGGATGATATTGATTCTGAGTGGAAGGTTATTTTGGAGTTTAAAGTTTGGGTTTTATGTTTTTCCCCTGAATTTGTATTCTTTTAAGATAGTTTAAGATTGAAGTCTTGGAAAATGCTTCTGAAGGTCACAATCTGTCTTTGAGGGGGCATCTTCCATGAGGCCATGAGTTTAGGGAACAAAATAAAAATCTGTTTGTCTCAAGAAAAATATAATAGGTGGGTATTATTTGGTGAATGTGATCTGTGGCAACTGAAAGCTTGAACTGTGAATCTTTATTTCATAAATCATAACATTAAATCTATGACATGATGATTGGCGCTAATGACAAAATTCTTCTAAGTTACATCAAATCTTAATTTTGGCTCTTCAGGACAAGGATTACAGAAATATTATGTTTTCCCTGTAGTTTTGTAATACCTGTGACATATAGAAGTCCAAATCTTTGACTCCTTAGAATCTCATAGATGAAACATTGAAAAACACTGAGAATGAACTTTGGAAGTCACATCACCTGTAGCATTTCCAAAATTGAGTTTTTTTACTCATATTTTCATTGATGTATGTATTCATTTATTTAACTCAGATTGGTTGAGCTCCAAATACATGGTAAACAGTAAGCTAGACCCAGCATCAGCATGCTGGCCATCATTCTGATGGTCCTTACTCCAGAGCTCCGTCCTCTCTCTTTTCTTCACATGGTTCACAATGGTGCATTTGAATCCACCTCAGTCACTCATGCTCCAAATAACAAGCAATCGGAAGATGAACTCTCTATTTACATTATGTTTTTAGAGGGGCTGAAACATTTATTCTCATGAAATAAAGGAAAAACAAAACAATGGAGGGACAGATAAATCTATATAAAGCAGGATTCATTTCTTTACACTGCACTAGATACAAAATATTTGGCTTGAAATGTGATCTCATTTTTAATTTATAACTTTTCTAATTCTTTGTCATTGACTGATTTCATGAATAAAATATTTTGACAAAATTAATGAAAATAAAACACTTTGATGAGTAACCACAGGTTTTCTTTGTTTACATGCTATTCTCAGATTCTTTATTCTTTCCACATTAAAGCACATGAGTGATTAATTTTCTCATATACATTTAATGTGTTTTTTTCCAAATTAGAAGTAACTTAAATACTATAGAGAATTTGTGAAGAAGATTAATTGCTTTTCATTTCAAAAGCATTGTTCTGGCATTTCATACCTATGGTATTAATACAGAAGGAGCTTTTTCGTTTTCCTTGTTTTTGCTCTGTTTATAATACTGCTAATTATTCACTCGTCTTATCAGTCACACATTCATTGCTCTTAAATTTCTGCTTGTGTGCTCTGGAAAAGTAAAATATGAGATTAAAAAAAATATATCAGCTAAGCCCAATACACAAAGAACTAATCCAGAAAGATTCTACGTATTCTCTTAAAATGTCTTATGTTATTAAGGTTAAATTCTCAGCCTGATGCACAACAAGTTATAATCCTTCCTGGATACAATGTAACTCCCTAAAGGAAGGATACAAAAGTGATAATCATACTGTTTCTTCATTGTCTAAAATTCAAATTCATGCAAAAATCATAATAGTGGAAATAAATTCAGAAAATTATATAGTGTATGCAAATAGGGAAACTGGCATTTGCAAAAGTAGGTGGGAGGTTTTTAATGTTAGTTATTAACAGTGTAATATATAGGCCACACTTTATCTAGAAGACAACGGTCAACCTTTGAATGTTAAATTAGATTGACTCTGAGCAATTACTATATCCTAGGCATTATGGGAAGATGAAGACAGTGTTTGTTCCCTAGTTCTGTATTTCCACGGTATTCCTGGTCTGGCCACAACTCCATTTTAGTCACTGTGCCTTCCCAGGCTAAGGCTCCTGGTTTGTGAATTCTTCAACTTGCTTCTCCACCCTGATCCCCCTAATAAAATATGCAGATCCATATATCATTCTGTTGGTGTTATTTTATTGTTATGCTAAGCTGATGAATTCCAATACCTAAATTGGTTTACATGTTATTGCTAATATGCTGCCCTCTGCAGTTAGTGCATAGGAATTTAAGGTCATAAAAGGGGCAAAGTCAGAAAAAGTTTTCCCTATGAGAACACAGACAAACAAACAACAACAAAACAAAGACAAGTCATAAAACAACATTCCTGACTAGGGAGTATTTTCATCTTATTTTTTGAAACGGAGTCTCCCTCTGTCGCCCAGGCTGGAGTGCAGTGGTCCAATCTCGGCTCACTGCCAGCTCCGTCTCCCGGGTTCACGCCATTCTCCTGCCTCAGCCCCCCAAGTAGCTGGCACTACAGGTGCCTGCCACCACACCTGGCTAATTTTTTGTATTTTTTAGTAGAGACGGGGTTTCACCATGTTAGCCAGGATGGTCTTGATCTCCTGACCTCGTGATCCACCCGCCTTGGCCTCTCAAAGTGCTGGGATTACAGGCGTGAACCACTGCACCCGGCCAGGGAGTATTTTCATCTTAAGAGAGGACTTAATGAAATAACTTCTTAATTTCAAACCAAGACTTAATCTAATGGCTAGAATTCAGGCAACCCTGCTGTTAAATGTAGAATACTCATCAGAAGGAGCAGATACGGTGTTACCTGTTTTTAGGTAACTGCTTATTTCATCTACTGTTAAGACTTCTTCAAGTTTCACTTAGCAGCTCCTAGTCTCTCAATTTCTAGAAGATAGCTATCAGATTCAATGCAGTACCACTCTTGCTAAAGCAAATCAGGATCCCCACACTCAACCCATTCATTGTCAAGTTTCTTTCTAATTGCTTTCTTATAAACAAGGCCAGAACCAAGAAACTTAGCTTCCCTTTGAAAGCCACATGCATCACTCCACTTATAGATTCATGGCCCTGGTCATGATATTCGCCTGTCATTTCTACTAGGAAAATGGAGCAGAAGGTCCGGGAAAATAGGGCACCAGCTGTGGGGTGTGATCCATGATCCTGGTAGCAAGACGAAAATAAAGTCCTGGGACCTCAACCTTCCCATCTATGTTTTACAAGAACAGGCAGTCCCGAGATACCCTTGGACCCCATCCAGCATGGCAGCTGTGACTCTCAAAGCTGCCGATTGATGTTGGCAATGAAATTCTCAACATGGTATTTTTCTGCCATATGTTCTGGGAGTGCCCAGGGCATCAGGCTTCCAATGACAATGTAATTTAATAGCTTAAGAGTATCTTAAACATATTTTCTTCCAGAATCTTCATTTGGGGAGATAAGCACTGTGTGAAATCTGCTTCTGGATACTGGCCGTTCACTTATTCAAACTATTAATTACCTAGTTCTGTCCCATAGACACAGTCCCTCTGGGACTCTGGTCCTACTGAGTTATTTCATTTCCTTAGATGCTATGGCTTAGAGAATTAACTGCCTTTGTGGAAAAATCCTAATAGTGATGGTGAAAAAGAAGACTTATTGGGAATTTAATCTGCCTCTGTTCAACCTTAAGGCAACTTTATTTTTCTTAACTTACAATACTATAGCTTATAATGCCCTGACCTTTCTTGAATTTAATTGTTTTTCTTCACATCCCTTTTTCACATTAAGGCTGAAGCCCAGTGATTGCTAGGGGTGGGGATTGGGGAGGGGCAGGAAGAGAGAGAGTACTTCTTTTTCCTCATTTTGCCACGTATGTGAGTTTTAAATTTGCTCTTTCTTTTGAGCTTTTTCTGTCTCCTATGTTCTTAGGCCACTTACAAAATTGTTATTGCTAGAAATACTGAAGTCATCCTCTAATTTGTCTTATCTGTGACAACTAATTAGACATTGAGTTTTAGCAATTCTACCCACAAAACAGCTATTAAATTTGACCACTTTTACCAATTCCTACCACCACTGCTTTAGTTCAGTTATTCAGCATGTCTCCTCTAGCCACATTGGGTAGCTTTTATACCAACGTCCTTTTCTTTGAAATACTTCCTGATATATATTTCCCAAACTGTTGACACAGTTATTTTCTCCAAGCTAATAATGTTCATATTATTTTCCCCTTTAAACACCCCTAATGATTACCTCTAGTACTAGAAGAATAGAACTCCGACTCCTTCCCAGGACATAAAGGACACCACTCTAGAGGAGAACAATGTCTTCTGAACATCCTTACCCACTGTGCTTCATTCACCCTGGACTCACCATCATTTTCCGAATAAGCCATGTATTTCAATATCTTTACACATTTGATCAAATTATTTGTTCATTAGAATGTCTTTGCCTCCTTATCTGACTACCGACTGAATTTCTTTTCTTTCTTTCTCTTTCCTTCCTTCCTTCCTTCCTTCCTTCCTTCCTTCCTTCCTTCCTTCCTTCCTTCCTTTCTTCTCTCTCTTTCTTTCTTTCGAGATGCACTGTTGCCAGACTGGAGTGCAGTGGTGCAATCTTGGCTCACTGCAACCTCCGCCTCCTGGGTTCAAGTGATTCTCCTGCCTCAGTCTCCTGAGTAGCTGTAACTACAGGCATGCGCCACCACCCCCAGCTAATTTTTGTATTTTTTAGTAGAGATGGCGTTTCACCATGTTGGCCAGGATGGGTCTTGATCTCGTGACCTCGTGATCTGCCCACCTCAGTCTCCCAAAAGTGCTGTGATTTCAAGCGTGAGCCACCATGCCAGGCCTACTGCCTGAATTTCTTACAAATTCAAGGCACAACTCCAGCATCACCTATAACTCTTTTCCATTCACTCTCCCTACTGTGAATCCACAATACTTTTCTCATTTCTATATTATAGAATACAATCAACTGGATTGTTAGCTCCTGGGAGGGTCTCTAGGTTTAATCTCTAAGAAAGGTGACTCCAAGTGGATTCTGTTATTGAAAAGGTGGGGTACAAATTGGAGAGATAAGATTAATTTACATGAGATATTACACCAATGACATATCAATAATGCAACAGACAATAATGCCATGGAAGTTAAAAGAGTAAAATACTGAGTAGAATTGTTGGGAAAATTTTACTGATGAGTTGGAAATGGGTGAATAGAATTGTAATACATTTTCTGTGACTCTAAGATACTAAATATGTATTGAGTCCAAAACAAAGGAAAAAGAGCTAATTAAATGAGAGATTTCTATCAAAATGCTATTAAATATCATACTTTGAATATCCCTATTTGCTCTATGTACACCTCAAGAAATTATATAAAGAACCAATTTAATAAAACATAACTAAGCTCAAAATCAAATTGCATATCATTCTATACCAAAATGTTTATTGATCAGCAGTATAAAGATCAGAAATTGTAGGGTTGCTGGGCTCTGGTCCAGAGCAGACAAAATTATGTAGCATAATGTAAAAGAAACTTGTTCACATATACAGAAAACATTTTAATGTTAAAAGACACAATTCACACTGCTATAGGTATATATGCACCAAATAACATAGTTACTCCTATATAAAGCAAAAGCTACAGGCATTGTAAAAAGACATGGATAGAAACACATTAGAATCTAACATACTCCTTTTAGTACAACACAGAACATGTGGACAATTTTAAGTAAGTATATAGAAAACTTAAGAAGCATAAGGGGAAAGGACAAGATGGCTGACTAGACAGCCAGGTGGAACAGCTTTCACCAAGGGACTGAGACATCTGGTGCACTCCTAATAGATCTTCAGAAGGAAGGCACTGAGAGTGGATGGAGGGAAGACACAGAAGCTGGGCTGAAGTGGGAGGAAGCTAGGAACCCTGCACTGGCATACTGTGCACTGGCACTCATTCCTAGTCCCCAGTGACTCTAGGGGAATGGGTGAGTTGAACTGGCAAAGAGCAACCCACTCTCACCAAGGGCCTCTGGAATCCCAGCAGGAGGAGACTCCTCCACTACCATGAGCACTCAAATTCACAGAGAGCTGCTTAGAAAAGTGGTAGAGGCAGCAAGCCAGCTGATGTGAAGCCTAGATGGTTTGGTGCAGGAGCATCTATAGCAGAGCATGGCCAGGGATGACCATCCCCCTGGTCTCTACTTTCTCCCATAGGAGACTTTTTAGCCCTAGGGGAACTGTAGGACCTGAACTCTGCAGGGTGGTCTTGCCCATCAGATGAAACTGGTCCAACCTGAGCACCTCTTGGTCTGCTGGCCTCTCAAGGGGCCCCAGACTGGCCCTGGAAGCCCACATCATAGCTGCTGCACTGGTGGACTATGCCTGACTGGTGGGGAGCTCCAGTGGGGTGGCCCCCATGGCCATGCACCAGCCCACCCCTTCCCTCCTCACATTGCAGCTTCCCCCACACCCATAGCAAACCTCACATTGCTTTGCCGAGGCACATATGTGCAAGGGCAGTTTTGCCTTCTTTGCCCTGCCAGCATGCATGTGTGCATGCACCCTGCCCTGCCACTACTATGGATAGAGTGCAGTCTGTCCCCACTTCTCCTGCCAACTGCCATTGCAGTCAAAAGCCTTGGCAGGCACAGAGCCAGCCAACCCTGCCCCTGGCAGTGCACTGCCTTTGTGCCAACACTGCTGTGTAAGTGAAACTAGGAAGAGAAAACAGCAGACACTCTCCCACCCTGAGCACCACTGCTTGTGGCACAGAGAGTGCAAACAGACATGTGCCGACCAGTGCCCTGCCCCTGTGTCACCACCACCACCAATGTGACCATGTGCATAGTTGCCAGCAGAGGCCTCTTTCCCCACCAAATCGCATTGCCTCCACCACTGTGCTGAATGCCTGCATAGAGGCAGGCACCCTGACACTCGCTAGCACCCTACCCCCACCGATGAGCATATACCTCACCACACTGTTGCTGTAGCTGCTTTTGGTACATGTGAATGAGGATGGAACCCGCTGTCACTGCACTGTGAAATGCTTTGGCTGACACCACCCATCAGAGTGTAGTGACCAGTAATCCAGGATCACCTTGGCTTCCCCAGTGCAATGGATTCCTACCTTTGAGGAGCCAGAAAACAAAGTCAAGTCCTGATACAAGTTTCCTAGAGTTAAAGTACACAGCCCAGGAGTTGGAAGCTGAATTTTGGCCCCTTAAAATCTTCCAGAAATAAAAACAGTCAGCTGAATCCATCTTATATCATGATCAAAGCCTCAAGGGCATCAAATTTGATAAAAGAAAAAAAATCCATCCAAAGATCAGCAACTTCAAAAATTGAAGAAGCATCAGCCCACACAAGAAGAGAAAGAACCAACACAAGAACCTTGACAACTCAAAAAGCCAGAGTGCCTTCTTTCCTCCAAATGACCACACCACATCTCCAGCAAGGGATCTGAATCAGGCTGAGATGGCTGAAATGACAGAAATAGAATTCAGAATATAGACAGGAATGAAGATAATTGAGGTGCAGGAGTATGCTGAAACCCAATCCAAGGAAGCTAAGAATCACAATAAAACAATTGCAGTAGATGGCAGACAAAGTAGCCAGATAGAAAAGAATGTAACAGACCTGATAGAGCCGAAAAGCATGGTACAAGAATTTCATAATGCAATCACAAGTATTAATAGCAGAATAGACCAAGCAGTGGAAAGAATCTTGGTGCTTGAAGACTGGCCCTGTGAAATAAGAGAATCAGACAAGAGGAGAGATAAAGGAACAAAAAGGAACAAACAGAACCTCTGAGAAATATGGGATTATGTAAAGAGACCAAATCTATGACTCATTGGTGTCTCTGAAAGAGATGGGAGAGTGTAAGCAACTTGGAAAACATATTTCAGGATATCATCCATGAGAACTTACCCAACCTAGGTAGAGAGGCCAGCATTAAAATTCAGGAAATGCAGAGAACCTCAGTAAGATACTTTACAAGATCATTACCAAGACACATAATCATCAGATTCTCCAAGGTTGAAATAAAAGAAAAAATGTTAAAGGCAGCTAGACAGAAAGGTCAGGTCACCTACAAAGCGATGCCCATTAGACCAACATAAGAGCAGACCTCTGAGTAGAAATCCTATGAGCCAGAGGAGATTAGGGGCCAATATTCAAATTATTATTTTTTATTTTTATTTTTTAGACAGAGGCTTGCTCTGTCACCCAGGCTGGAGTACAGTGGTGGATCTTGGCTCACTGCAACTTCCACTCCTGGGTTCAAGTGATTCTTCTGCCTCAGCCACCTGAGTAGCTGGGACTACAGGCACATGCCACCATGCCCGGCTAAATTTTGTATTTTTAGTAGAGATGGGGTTTCAACATGTTGTGGCCAGGCTAGTCTCCAACTCCTGATCTGCCTGCCTTGGACTCCCAAAGTGCTGGGATTATAGGCATGAGCCACCACGCCCAGACTCAACATTCTTTAAAAAAAAGAAATTCCATACCAGAATTTCATATTTGCCCAAACTTAGCTTTATAAGTGAAGGAGAGATAAGATGCTTTTCAGACAAGGAAATGGTGAGGGAATTTATTGCCACTAGACCTGCTTTACAGGAACTCCTGAAGTAAGCTCTAAATATGAAAAGGGAAAACCATTACCAGTCACTACAAAAACACACTTAAGTACACAGATAAGTGACACAATAAAGCAACCACACAAACAAGTCTGTATGATAACCAGCTAACATCTTGATGACAGGATCAAAGCCACATACATCAATACTAACTTTGAATATAAAGTGGCTAAATGCCCCAATTAAAAGGCACAAATGGCAAGCTGGATAAAGAACCAGGACCCATTATTGTACTGTCTTCAGGAGACGCATCTCACATGCAATGACACCCATAGGCTAAACATAAAGCAATGGAGAAAGATCTACCAAGCAAATAGAAAACAGAAAAAAGCAAGGGTGGCAATCCTAATTTCTCACAAGACAGACTTTAAACCTACAAAGGTCAAAAAAGAAAAAGAAGGGCATTACATAATGATAAAGGTTTCAATTCAACAAGGTGACCTAACTATCCTCAATATATATGCACCCAACACAGGAGCACCCATATTCATAAAGCAAATTCTTAGAGACTCTCAAAGAGACTTAGATTCCCAAATAATAATATTGGGAGACTTCAACACCACACTGACAGTATTAGAGAGGTTATCAAGGCATAAAAATAACAAGGATATTCAGGACAGGAACTCAGCACTGGATCAAATAGACCTGATAGACATCTACAGAACTCTCCACAGAAAACAACAGCATATACATTCTTCACATTGCCACATGTCACATACTCTAAAATCGATCACATAATTGGACATAAAACATTTCTCAGCAAATAGAAAAGTGCTGAAACTATAACAACTACTCTCTCAGACCACAGCACAATCAAATTAGAATTCAAGACTAAAAAAAAAATTCACTCTAAACCATAAAATTACATGAACATTGAATAACATGCTTCTGAATAACTTTTGGATAAATAATGAAATTAAGCCCAGACATGGTGGCTCATGCCTGTAATCCCAGCACTTGGGGAGGCCAAGGTGGGTGGATCGCCTGAGGTCAGGAGTTAGACACCAGCCTGGCCAACATGGCGAAAACCCATCTCTACTAAAAAATACAAAAATTAGCCAGGAGTGTTGGCACACACCTATAGTCCCAGCTACTCGAGAGGCTGAGGCAGGAGAATCGCTAGAACCTGGGAGGCAGAAGTTGCAGTGAGCAGAGGTCGCCCCATTGCACTCCAGCCTGGGCGGAAGAGGGAGACTCTGTCTCAAAAAAAAAAAAAAAAAAAAAAAAAGAAATTAAGGCAAAAATCTAGCAGTTCTTTGAAACTAATGAGAAGCAAGATAAAAGAAACCAGAATCTTTGGGACACCATTAAGGCAGTGTTAAGAGGGAAATTTATAGCACTAAATGCCCTCATCAAAAGTTTAGAAATACCTCAATTTAATATCACAACTAAAAGAACTAGAGAAGCAAGAGAAAACCAACCCTATAGGTAGCAGATGACATGAAACAACCAAAATCAGAGCTGAACTGAAGGAGATTGAGACACAAAAAAATCATTCAAAAGATCCATGAATTCAGGAGTTGTTTTTTTGAAGAAATTAATAAAATAACAATAAATATTATTTATAGATACATACAAATGTAATACACTATGCAATATTTACTGCAAAGAAACATATCACTTTTATAATAGTGGTTACTTCTAGGGAGAAAAAGAGTATTGATATCCGAAGGGACTATAAAAGCATTTTTATCTGTTGTGTTTTACTTCAACAAATTTTTGAAGGAATTTGTTAACTATGAGAATTGATAATAAAATAGATGGACTGCTGGTGTATTAGTCAGAGTTCCCTAGAGGGACAGAACTAATATATATTATACATTTATATATAAAGAAGAGTTTATTAAGTATTAACTTACATGGTCACAAGGTCCCACAATAGGCTGTCTGCAAGCTTGAGGAGCAAGGAGAGCCAGTCCGAGTCTCAAAACTGAAGAACTTGAAGTCCAATGTTCGAGGGCAGAAAGCATCCAGCACGGGAGAAATATGTAGGCTGAGAGTCTAGGCCAGTCTCTCATCACGTTTTTCTGCCTGCTTTACGTTTGCTGGCAGCCGATTAGATTGTGCCCACCAGATTAAGGGTGGGTCTGCCTTCCCCAGCCCACTGACTCAAATGTTAATCTCCTTTGGCAACACCCTCACAGACACACCCAGGATCAATACTTTGCATCCTTCAGTCCAATCAAGTTGACACTCAGTATTAACCATCACAGCTAGCTACACAAATAAAGAAAAGATCCAAATAAACACAATTAAAAACAATAAAGGGGATATTACCACTGACCCCACAGAAATACAAATAACCATCAGAGAATAGTATGAACATTTCTATGCATATAAACTAGAAAATCCAGAAGAAATGGATAAACTCCTTGTTACATACAACCTCCAAAGACTGAGCCGGGAAGAAATTGAATCCCTGAACAGAACAATAATGAGCTCTGAAATTGAATCAGTAATATATAGCCTACCAACTGAAAAAAGTCCAGGACCAGATGGATTCACAGCCGAATTCTACAAGATATACAAAGAAGACCTGGTACCATTTCTACTGAAACTATTTTTAAAAATTGAAAAGGAAAAACGAATCCTTAACTCATTCTATGAGGCAAGCATCATCCTGATACCAAAACCTGGCAGAGACACAACTTCAGGCCAATATCCTCAATGAACATCAATGCAAAAATCCTCAAGAAAATATTGGCAAACAGAATTCAGCAGCACATCAAAAAGGTTATCCATCATGATCAAGTAGGCTTTAACCCCAGGATGCAAAGTTTGCCCAACATACACAAATCAATAAATGTGATTCATCACATAAGCAGAACTAAAGACAAAAACCATGTGATTATCTTAATATATGTAGAAAAGGCTTTTGATACAATTTGACATCTATTCATGATAAAAACTCTCAAGAAACTAGGTATTGAAGGAGCACACCTCAAATTAATAAGAGCTATATATGACAGACCCACAACCAACATCATACTGAATGGGCAAAATCTGGAAGCATACCACCTTGAAAACTGGTGCAAGACAAGGATGCCCTCTCTCACCACTCCTATTCAACATAGTATTGGAAGTCCTGGCCAGGACAGTCAGGCAGGAGAAACAAACAAAGGGCCTCCAAGGAGAAAGAAAGAAAGTCAAACTATTTCTCTTTGCACACAACCCAATTCTATATCTAGAAAAGCCCATAGTCTTGGCCCAAAAGCTCCTTAAGCTGATAAGCAACTTTAGTAAAGATTCAGGATACAAAATCAACATACAAAAATCACTAGCATTCCTATAAAGTCAACAACAGCCAAGCAGAGAGCCAAGTCAGGAATTCAATCCCATTCACAATTGCCACAAAAAGCATAAAATACCTAGAAATGCAGCTAACCAGGGAGATGAAAGATCTCTACAAAGAGAACTATAAAACAACTGCTAAACAAAATCAGAGATGACACAAACAAATGGAAAATCATTTGTTTTTTTTACAAGAAGAAAACAACCCCACTTACAAGTGGGATGTTCACAAGAAGACATACGTGCAGCCAACAAGCATATAAAAAAAGCTCAATATCTCTAATCACTAGAGAAATGCAAATCAAAACCACAATGAGATACTATCTCACACCAGTCAGAATGGCTATTATTAAAAAGTCAAAAACAAAACAAAACAAAGCAAAAATACAGATACTGGCCAGGTTGTGGAGAAAAAGGAACGCTTATATACAGTAGGTGGCAGTATAAATTAGTTCAACCACTGTGGAAAACAGTTTGACAGTTCCTCAAAGACCTAAAAACGGAACTACCATTTGACCCAGCAATCCTATTACTGGGTATATATTCAAAGGAATATAAATCTTTCTATCATAAAGACACATGCACACATATGTTCACTGCAGCACTATTCATGATAGTAAAGACATGGAATCAACCTAAATGTCCATCAATGGTAGACTGTATAAAGGAAATGTGGTATATATATATATATATATATATACACACACACACACACACACCATGGAATACTATGCAGCCATAAGAAAGAACAAAATTATATTCTTTGTAGGAATATTGGTGGAGCTGCAGGCCATTATCCTTAGTAAACCAATGCAGGAACAGAAAACCAAATACTGCATGTTCTTACTTATAAGTGGGAGCTAAATGATGAGAACGCATGGACACACAGAGTGGAACAGCAGACACTGGGGTTTTCCAGAGGTTGAAGAGTGGGAAAAGGGAGAGGATCAGAAAAACTTACTAATGGATACTGGGCTTAATACCTAGGTGACGAAATAATGTGTATGACAAACCTCCATGACACAAGTTTACCAGTATAAGAAACCTGCACATGTACCTCAGAACTTAGAATAAAAGTAAAAAAAAAAAAAAAAAAAAGAAAGAAAATATAGGAGAAAAACGTAATGAATAAGGCATTTGTCATCATATACAAACTTATGTATCAAATTTTATACACAGATAATAGAGAATGCAACTTTTTCAAGCATGCCTAGGACATGCACAAAAATTTATCATATATTAGATCCAAAAGAAATTATTGGTAGGTTCAATAAAGTAGAAATATTAAAGAAAATATGATACATACACACAATGGAGTACTATTCAGACATAAAAAGAATGAGATTCTGTCATTTGCGACAACATGGATAGAACTGGAGATCATTTTGTTAAGTGAAATAAGGCAGGCAAAGAAAGACAAACATTGCATGTTCTCATTTATTTGTGGGATCCAAAAAAACAAAACAATTGAACTTATGGACATAAAGAGTAAAAGGATGCTAAACATAGGCTGGGAAGGGTAGTGAGGGGTGGGGATGGGTTGGTGTGAGAGGAGGTAGGGATGGTTAATGCATTAAAAAAAAATAATTAGAAAGAATAAATAAGACCTGCTATTTGATAGCACAACAGGGTGACTGTAGTCAATTATAATTTAATTGTACATTTAAAAATAACTAAATTAGTATAATTGGATTGTTTGCAACACAAAGGATAAATGCTTTCGAGGATGGATACCCCAGGATTCATGATGTGATTATTACACATTACATGCCTGTATCAAAACATTTTATATACCCCAAAATATATACATCTTCTATGCACCCACACAAATTAAAAATTAAAAGTAGAAATATTATAAACAATATTTTAACCTACAATGTAATAAAACTAGAAATTAATATAAAACTTAATAATTAAAAAGACTCTTCCACCTGGAAATTTACAAAAGCCCTATCAAACAACTCTTGGGCCATGGGGAAATACGAATAGAATTATGCAATCTCTAAAATAATGGTGAACCATTTGTGATTTTTCTCAGTGAAGTTTATGATCACTTTTTTAGAGTTTTATTATTTTAAATTTCATACTTAGAAGGACATCACAGACTGAAGAATACTGCTTTTACTTCATTTTTAAATAATGTAACCTTTATTTTACAGGATTGAAGTTTTGGATCCCACTTATCCCATTATGTTGGGGTTTTACTATACATTATTATATGATTAGCTAACAACTTATTTATTCCTCTGCTAGTGGTGCTTTAGGGTGCTTCTGACAAATATGTTAACTTTTTTTTTTTTGGCGTGGGGAGATGGAGTTTTGCTCTTGTCGCCCAGGCCGGAGTGCAATCACACGATCTCAGCTCACTGCAACCTCCGCCTCCCAGGTTCAAGTGATTCTCCTGCCTTAGCCTCCTGAGTAGCTGGGATTACAGGCACCTGCCACCACGCCCTGCTAATTTTTGTATTTTTAGTAGAGACGGGGTTTCATCATGTGGGCCAGGCTGGTCTCGAACTCCTGACCTCAGGTGATCCACCCGCCTCTGCCTCCCAAAGCTCTGGGATTACAGGCATGAGCCACCATGCCCAGACACTGTTAACATTTTTTTATGCAGCTCTTCTTTTGTTTATGCTATGCGTTTTAATTGTTGTTTTAGGTTATTTGTATTCCAAAATTTACTACATATTGCTAAATTGCTTTCTGAATTGGTGTCATATAAATATTAATTTGACCAGTAAACAATGAGACTTCCCATTTTACTGCAATTTCACCAGCATTTGGTGGTAATTTTTTTTTAATTTGCCAAACCCAAGAGTAAGAAGTAATAATTTCATTAACATAAGCAGTAAAAGCTGTTCTTAAGAAAAGTGATGCCAGAAGCAATTTCCTCATTGCCAGCTTTGTGTTATCTAAGCAGATTACATAGCTCCCCCATGCCTCAGTTTCCTCATCTGCAAAATTAGGATAATAATCATACCTAATTCATAAGGCTCCTGTGAGGGTTAAATGTGTTAATAATATAAAGCACTTAGAACAGTGCTTGCTTTATAGTAAGCACCATGAAAAACCTACCAGTTATAAATTATCCCGATAATTTACTTATAGTGCTAGAGAAATGTCTTATTAGGTGTGCATTTGGTTGTCATGTCCCTTTAGTTTCCTTTAATCTGGACTACTTCATTCGATTTTCTTTGTCTTTTATGACATTAATATTTCTGAAGAATACAAGTCAATTAGTTTGCAGACTGTTCATCAATTTGGGAACAACCCTTGGGCCATGGGGAAATACAAATAGAATTATGCAATCTCTAAAATAATGATGAACCATTTGTGATTTTTCTCAGTGAAGTTTATGATCACTTTTTTAGAGTTTTATTATTTTAAATTTCATACTTAGGACATCACAGACTGAAGAATACTGCTTTTACTTCATTTTTAAATAATGTAACCTTTATTTTACATTATTGAAGTTTTGGATCCCACTTATCCCATTATGTTGGGGTTATGACATTTTCTCATAGTTAGACTCAGGTTGTGCGTTATTTGTTCTCAAAAACACCTCTCATCTGATTTTCCATAGATAGTTCTGAAGCTGGCATGGCCTTTCAAAGCTTACTAGATTAGGTTGAGGAGGGTCAAGACACCCATTGAGCAGGCTGCCCTGGGAAAGAGTATGACCTCACAGAATGGAGCTCTTTTTAGCAAAGGGCAATTTCCAGAGGGGAATGACAGTTGAATGACATTAGTCCCAGTACTCCCAGAAGCTGGGCAGAAAGTCCTTCAGTCTTGAAGGGGGAGCTAAGAGGCATATCAGAACTTCACTACATTCACAATGCAAATTAAAGAATATATGAACTATATCATGCCTTTTATGTAAAGTCTTAAAATAAGTAAAGTGATACTATATGTCATGTCAGACACCTGTGTATAGAATAATAATATAAAATGATGAACATTAAATTCAGATTATTGGTTACATCTGGGAGGTGGATGTGATAATGCAGTAAGGGAGGGATACTCAGGAGTCTTTACCTATATTAGTAAAGATTCTTCTTTAAATCAAGAGAAAATAATTGATTTCTTTAAGTTGGAGGAGAACCCTCATGTGTTTAATATTGTACTGTTTATGCTTATTTCTGAAATGTTTCAACATAATGTTACTGGGATCATAAAAATCATTTTAGCATTTCCTGAACATAACAAATGATCCATGCTTAGTTTTAAATAGCTTTAATTAGGAAAGTAATTTGTGCTTATGGTAAACTTCAACTGCACAGAAATGAACTAGATAAAAACTAATAGTCTCCTTTGCCATACCCTTGTGCTCTCAATGTCCCTCTCCCCAGATAAGACTTAAAAACATCATCTTTCTTTCCAGAAATATTCTGCTTCTCTTCCTTGATAAGACAAATTGGAGTGTTTTATATACGTTGTTCGGCAACCTCCTTTTTTCTTTTTATTTAACAATAAATATTGAACATATTTCTTTATCAATACTTTTATTCTTAATTGTTTCTGACATCAGCATAACATTTCATTGAATGGCTGCACTATTTCTTTAAGCTATTTTCCAATTGATGGCATTTAGTTCTTTCTAAACTTTTTATTTTGTAATTTACACTCAATAATATGCTAATTTATGTGGCACTCAATCACAATTAAAGGGTAATCATTTACCTGTGAGAAGGGATGGCAGGAGGAAGGAGGTCCACAGTTCTTACTATCTTCATCATCTCATGGAATTACCATTTCTTCTTCAAGGATATTCTGCCTTTCTCATCTTATTTAATCTCATGATGACACCAATATTTCTCAGATTTTAGAGAAACATTCACATCTACCAAGAATTTAAGAACCTCACGTTTGTGGACTTCTAATATGGAGAATCAGTTCAAGGATTGGTGAGGAGTTCCAGAGAGATGGAGGTAGAATGGGAGAGAAACAAGTATCTTGTCATCAGGGGTCCAGGTTTAGCACCTCAAGTATCTAAAGAATACTACTCTGGGAGCCATCTTCATAGAAAAGTCTGCATATTTTTAGATCCTGTAAGTCTAGTCAGACCTGTATGTATATATAGGAAACATCTTTTGTTGAATTTTCTTGCATTTGAGGTCCCTTATTCAACCCATTTTGGCCTGTCTCAATGATATACACACAGTTATCACAGTGTTCCATAATTTACATTTGTATTGGCTCTAATAATGATGACTTGTAGGTCAGAGGTCTATAGAGTGGGTTCCCAGAAATAATTAAAATTGAATAGCCATAAGGTATAATTAATACAACTCAGTCCTAACTACTGCATGAATCCAAGTTGATTTGGTTGGAATGATTTATATAAACCCTTAAAAAATGTCAGGGTGGGAAGAACCTAGAAACCCTTCAAGTTATCAGTACTCACAGGTAGAATCAAAGATAGTGGTTGTTCTCCTTAAAGGACTTTTATCTAATTTGACAACTATCTTTTACAGGAGAAACCCAGAGAGGCTGAATAAATTGCTAAAGGTTTCACAGCTGGTTAACAGCGGAGCCAGGACTAGAATCAAGATCTTAGGTCAACGTCTCATTGTCTCAAGTTTATTTATGTGTTTTTGACATCTGTAAGCCAGAAAACTTATATGACAGCTGTAGGCTATGCTGATTTTGCCACTAAAATATAAAAAAGTATTAGCCACTTTCATGTTATCCTGGTCATTTTAGAAGCAGATTCAAACTGTCAAAATAACTGAATGATTTCTTGCAACTCAAGATCACTTGGAGAAGAAACCCTCAATAGTAATTATTAAACCATTACCTAATTTTCATTGAGAAATTTTCAAACTGTTATACTAAATTTTAATAATAGCAAAAAAAAGTCATATACTAGGTCAAGTTTTAAGGAAACTGCTAGAGTGTGATCCATCAATTGCAACTTGTTTGAAATATTTGTGGTCTGTATTTTAGTGAGAAATTACTGAGGGCAATGGCATAAAATAGAGTTTCCCTGCTAATAGAAAAACCCATAGGAGTTTAGAATTGAAAAATCAAATCATACTACTTTCTTGTGAGTGAAACATACAGATTAAAAGCTAGGGATGCATCTACCATAGCACTTGAATCACACTGAATAATAGGTTTGGTTCACAAATTGCTGCTTGGGGTTACACTTACACAATAACAAGTTGCCTAGGATGAAGTCAAGAATACATTTACTCTCCCTGTATTTTAAAGAGAATGCTCTCCTGGGCACCTATTGATACCTGTTAGAAATCACTTAGTGTCTACCTAGTAACTTTTTAACAAGCCAGAATTTGGGATTTTGACCTCTAATTATAGGGCTGATGTTTGTTTTCCTAATGCTATACTGCCTGCATTTTGATTAATCATCTGTTATATTTGATGCTTGTATTGTTTGCTGTTTCTGACAAAGAAGCCTTGAATTATTTGCTGATTGAAATTGTGAAGTCTTTGAAATGACTGAATTTTTATTTCATGTTACTATTGTCCCTTGGGATGCCTTGAACAGGACTTCCTTTTAACTTTTCTTTTCTTTTCTCCAGGTATGGAAGTCTTAGCTACCATATTATCCCCTGGCTAGCCTGTCAAATCACTGGCCTTGGGGTAAATGTCCAGGTGTGACTGATGTGTATGTAGACACGTATCCCCTATCTGTCTACTCTGAGACATTATTGTGGTCTTATAAACATCATGCTGCAGCCACTGGATTTTGCCAGTGGGAAGGCTATGGCTGTCACACTTGAGGCAACTTCTGCAGCTTTCTTCAATTTACCTAATGCCTTCCCTATTTTCTTTTTAATCTTTTATTTTAGGTTTGGGGGTACATGAGAAAGTTTGTTACATAGGTAAACATGTGTCATAGGGGTTTGTGGCACAGATTATTTCATCAGCCAGGTATTCAACCCAGTACCCAATAGTTATCTTTTCTGCTCCTCTCCCTTCTCCCACCTGCCACCCTCAAGTAGACCCCAGCGTCTGTTGTTCCCTTATTTGTGTTCAACCTACAGAGTGGGAGGAAATATTTGCAAACTATGCATCTGACAAAGGTCTAATATCCAGCATCTATAAGGAACTTAAACAAATTTAAAAGAGAAAAACAACCCCATTGAAAAGTAGGCAAAGGACATGAACAGACACTTTTCAAAAGAAGACATACATGATGCCAACAAGCATATGAAAGAAAGCTCAATATCACTGATCATTAGAGAAATGCAAATCAAAACCACCATTAGATGCCACCTCACACAAGTCAGAATGGCTTTCCTTCTAACACATTAGGAGATTTCAGAAGTTCCCTCCAAGCTACCGGCACAATTTCCAATCTTGAGGATTGACTAGCTGAAAGTCTTTCTCTATCATCTCTCCATCATGGTTTAAGTCAATTTTATAGCACAAAGGAAATTGTTGACCAAAGAAAACTTAAGCAATGGTATGAATTGCCACTTCTCTGACCACAGCATAAGTGGTAATTTTAGACTAGAGAATTATGTAACTGGATTGTAGAAATACAAGATGCTTTATGCTTCAATTTCCATACATATAGAATGAGAAAGTAGGATTACAAAGTCTAGATTATTGCAGTAATCTCCTCATTGTTCTCACTGGCTCCTATTTTATCCCTGTCTAGGCTCTTTTCCCTGTTTCCCAAACATTTATTTTTATTTTTATTTTTATTTATTTATTTATTTTTTGAGATGGAGTCTCACTCCGTCGCCCAGGCTGGAGTGCAGTGTCACAGTCTCGGCTCACTGCAACCTCTGCCTCCTGAGCTCAAGTGATTCTCCTGCCTCAGTCTCCTGCATAGCTGGGATTACAGTCATGCACCTCCATACCCGGCTAATTTTTTGTATATTTAGTAGAGATGAGGTTTTACCATGTTGGCCAGGCTGGTCTTGAACTCCTGACCTCAGGTGATCCGCCCATCTTGCCTCTCAAAGTGCTGGGATTACAGGTGTGAGCCACTGTGCCTAGCCTATTTTTGAGACAGGGCCTCACTCTGTCAACCAGGCTAGAGTGCAGTGGTACAATCATGGCTCACTGCAGCCTCAACCTCCTGGACTCAAGCAATCCTCCTACCTAAACCTTCCAAGTAGCTGGGACTACAGGCATGTGCCACCAACACCTGGCTAATTTATTATTTTTTGGTAGAGATGGGGTCTCATTATGTTGCTCTAGCTGGCCTCCAACTCTTGGACTCAAGTGATTTCTCTTGTCTCAGCCTCCCACAGTACTGGAAGTACATGTGTGAGACAACCATGCCTGGCCCAGAACACTGTTTATTCCCCTTTTTAAATTTTTAAATTTTTGTTTTTCTTTCAATAGTTTTGGGGGATGTGGTGTTTGGTTGCATGGAAAAGGTCTTTAGTGGTGATTTCTGAGATTTTGGTGTACCTATCACATGAGCAGTGTACACTGTACCCAATTTGTAGTCTTTTTTCCATGCTGAGTCCCCAAAGTCCATTATATAATTCTTATGCCTTTGTGTCCTCATAGCTTAGTTCCTGCTTGTAAGTGAGAACATACTGTCTTTGGTTTTCCATTCCTGAGTTACTTTACTTGGAATAATGGTCTCCAACTCCATCCAGGTTGCTGTGAATGCATTATTTCATTCCTTTTTATGGCTGAGTAGTATTCCATGGTGTATATATATACCACATTTTCTTTATCTATTCGTTGGTTGACAGGCAAATGCTCTCTGGCCCCTTTCTTGATCAGTGAGCTTCAGGGTAAAATCCTTAGCTTAAGATCTTGTCTCCACTTCTCTAGTTCACATGTTCAAATGTGACTTAGCCAATGAATTCTGGTCCCTAACTGCTGCTTAGCTTTTTTGTAGTATAGTCTTTACATATACTGTTCCTCTGCCTGGAATGCCCCTCTTCTGTTCATCCCTAGCTAACTTCTACTAATTATTTAAACATCTTTTAAAAGTCCATTCTGTTACAACCTCAA
Organism: Homo sapiens; assembly: GCF_000001405.40. Lineage (NCBI taxonomy): Eukaryota > Metazoa > Chordata > Mammalia > Primates > Hominidae > Homo > Homo sapiens. The sequence continues at coordinate 83,809,198 of NC_000002.12, read as the reverse complement.
AATATTCTTTGCTTATTCTCCTCCACTTAGATTGGTGAGCTGCTCCTTTCTTACACTCCTATGGAATATGTTTTTATCATTTCACTGATGGTCAAGGACTTGTATTAGGTTAAACAAGTGAAATTGCTGACTTTTCACAATTTTTAATTTATAAAACAGCAAATGATGTTCATATTTTTAAACTAAGGATTATTATTCACATGATTATTGCTTTTTTTTAAAACAATAGCTGCTATTAACTGAACTTCTATGAATATGTAAGGGGGGAAATACAGAAGTCACCATTATAATGTACGATTGCAAGGGCTAAGAATTTCATATTCACCTTTTGAAAAGTCTTCCTCAAGCTGTATTTGTGGATTTGGTTTATCCCAATCACCTCTTTAATTGGCTAGGGTATCCCATTTCATTTAAAGATCTAAGCCCCTGGGCCAGAGGGGAGAAAAGAGGAAAGGGCTAGTGTGGATAAGTACTGAATATTGACTCAGAGTGGGCAAGAGTGTCTTCAGGGTTCTCTGCTCCTTCTGCCCACAAGGAGGCCTTTGCAAAAGCACCTGAGGACCAGATCCAGCTATGAAGGCACCTGGGCTAGGAACACAAATAGTGAAAACAGCATGGTGCATAGGGAGGTCTGAGTCCTTGAGCACAGCCCCCTTCAGAGACTGCCATCTATTGTGAATTAGCGTACACCAAGTCTTATGTAGGGAGGGCAACTTCCCGCTGAGGCCAACCAAATAAAGCCTTTGTAATTCCCTATGGTCAGGCCTGAAAAATCACGCATAGGTTTCTAATCAGGAGTTGGACTTCTCAGGTTTCTTTTAGATTTACACCAGCCACTCTTTTTTGAGCAAGGTGATATTATGATTTTATCTATACATATACTCATTACACACACACACGCACAGGTTTTTGTCCACAGTTCCTGGCTCATGACTCCCATAGCCCTTGTTTCAGTCTTTCGTTATAATTAGTTGGGGTGCTTTAGGCCTCAGGTGCAGAATCTCCTGCTCTGAACTTCTCTTGTCCTTCTTTCACCTGCCCAAGGCAGGGCATAATCTGATTATGAGACCAAAGACTTTCATTCCATATAGGTTCTTGGCCCCTACCCTAGAAGACGAAATGCTATACAAAGAGGCCAACAAAAGTCTGGACAGACCTTGCTGAGTTTAAATCATGCTCATTTTGTCCAATCACACTTCTACAGGGTTGTCAATCATGCCTATGTAATGAAGCCTCCATAAAAACCCAAGAGGACCGGGTTTGGATGAACTTGTGGACAGCTGAATACCTGGAAGTTCCTGGAGAGTGGCACACCCAGGGAGGGCATGGAAGCTCTGCATCCCCTTTCCCATACATCGCCCTGTGCATCTTTTCATCTATATCCTTTATAATAAACCAGTAACGGTAAGTAAATGTTGCCCTGAGTTCTGTGAGGCAACTAGCAAATTAACCAAACCCAAAGAGGGGGTCATGGGAACCCCAATTTGAAGCTGGTCAGTCAGAAGGTAAGGAGGCCCAGATTTACAATGGACTGGGGACAGTTTTGAAGACTGAGCCCTCATTCTGTGGGATTTGATGCTGTCTCCAGGTAGACAGTGTCAGAATTTAACTAGATGGCGCGTAGCTGCTGTCTGCTGTGTTGATTGTTGTGTGGGAGCAGAGGAAAAACATGGTTTGAGAGCTTTTCCCTAGGCTTCCAATACCCTCAGGTGGGTGTCAGGAGCATTCCTTTTCCTTTTGTGTTTGGCTCATACCTCTTCCATCTTTTCTCCAGTAAACTCTGGGAGTGTGGTTAGTTTCCAGCACAGCTTCCTTCCTAGGTTGCTAGCTTGCTTGCTTGCTTGCTTGCTTGCTTGTTTCCTTCCTTCCTTCCTTCTCTCTTTCTTCCCTCCCTCCCTCCCTCCCTTCCTTCTTTCCTTTTTTTAAAATTTATTATTATTATCTTGAGACAGAGTCTTGCTCTGTCGCCCAGGCTGGAGTGCAATGGCACCATCTCAGCTCACTGCAACCTCCACCTCCCAGGCTCAAGCGATTCTCAGGTCTTGGCTTCCTGAGTAGCTGGGGTTACAGGCACGCACCACCATGCCCAGCTAATTTTTGTGCTTCCAGTAGAGATGGGGTTTCGCCATGTTGTCCAGGCTGGTCTCCAACTGCTGACCTCAAGTGATCTGCCCACCTTGGCCTCCCAAAGTCCCGGGATTACAGGTGAGAGCCACCACGCCAGACCCTACAGCCTTTTTTCTTGTGCCGCCACTAGAGCAGGGAGCCAGAAACAGTCTCTCTCTTAGGCTCCTTCAGTCATGAGCCTCCAGTGTTCACAGCTCAAGATCTAGCGTGGTCCCACCAAAGCCTCTCACCTTGGCCTGGATGTGAGAGAAAAGCACCCATTCTCGTTCCCCACAGGAGGGGATATAATGCCATAATACTGAATATTTTTCCAAAGACATTTCTGCTCCAAGCTTCTTCAATTCAACAATTCTATGAGATATGAGGTAAGTATAGATCTATGGGTTATTAAAAACAGTCTTTCCTGTGCCAATCCTACATAGTAAGTCTAGACCATATTTTTCGGATGTAAGTCTATTTGCTACTTACTATATTTATATTTTGTTAATTATTTTGGGAAACTGGACAAAATAGGGTAAGCATCGTATGATACTTAAAACTGCTGAGAAAGAAATAATGTTATTATTCTACCTTGATTTTATAGCTGAGGAAAATAAGGCATAAAGAAGTGAAATAATGTTTAACCAATATTACATATTTTATCAGGGTGCTGGGAACTTAATTTCTTTGATTTATTTCCTGTAGCCATACCCATCATAGTTTTGCTAACAGTGTGACTGGGAGTAGTGAGATATAAAATAAATTTGGGCCTCAGTTTCCTCACCTTTAACCTAATTTTCTCAAAAAATTAACATAGTAATGTTAAGTAAAGTCGATAGCGGGGGCTGGTCCAATGTGGGTACCCAGAAAATAGAAGCATCACCCTTCCTTTACCACTTTTCTCCATGCTTCTTCCCTAAACCCACACACATTTCTAAAAAATTCCAATATGATTTTAAAATAACATATACATTTACTTAAATCTTTGAATTTGAAATTACATTTCGAATTTGAAACAACATTTGAATTTGAAACAACATTTTGACATCTTTTGTTCTATTGTAAGTCCTAGGGCAGAAAGGAGACGTCTGGGGGCAGGGTGGAGGTTGCTGTGTCTGAATGTAAAGAGGGAAAGCTGTGTCTGAATGTAAAGATTTGTCATATGACAAATCTTATGAAGGTGAGTAATTACAAAAGGATTTAGTGTCTGCGATGGAGACACTAATGGCACTGAAGGAAAAAAATCTCAGTATAGTGCTGAAATCTGTAAAGGAGTGGAGCCATCAATGGTCTCAGGCAACTGCTGATTAATCTATGAGCAGGGCTTGTTTAGTAAATAAATGACCTAGACCAACATTAACTTCAGCAGTTCGAGCTCTGAACACACAAATACAGATCAAAAAATAGAAACTGTTAGACACGACAGTGAAAGAATAACAGTGCCTAGAAGGTGTCAAAGCATAATATATTGAGTAGATGACTGATTTGCACTATAAGCAAATGTCATAACTCAGTAAGTGGAACCAAATTGGTTTTCTTGATTCTTATGTGTGTGTATCTATATAGACATACATATATTCTCGATTGGAAAGAGAAGATGATTTTTGGTTCTACAATTCTCACTGCTGACCTGTGGAGAAAGGATTTTGGAAGAATTACTGCCCACTGGGTAATTTCAGGTTTGTAAAATACCTGGTGATCATTTCAGCAGAAAGATACAATTCTAATGTGAAATTAATTCTGAGCTTGTATCACTCCTTGTCCCAAGTTCCTCCCCATATGTAATTAGGCACATCAGAAAGTGCTAGTTTTATCTTTCTGACATGCCAATTTCTTTGTCAAGTCTTGATCAAGACTTGTTAACCGCACTTGTCTTTTGACACCCTTCATAAAATGGCTTACTAGTACTGATGAAGCTATATTTCCTGATATTCCTCATCTTCCTTCTGTTCTATTCAGAGATGCCATTTTATCAATGGTTCTGGGACTAGCGGACTCCACATGTTGATGAAAGGATCAATTATTAACCTAACTTGGTGCCAGGCATGGTTTTCCATATAAAGGCAGTAGAGGGGAGAAAGAAATTTGTACTTGATTGAAAAGGCTTCATATGGACATTGGACAGTAATACAAAGAATGTGCTTGGCTCTGTATGTTCAGCTTAGAGGTGAATCTTTAGGACTAGGACTTCTGCCTTAGAGGACAGGCTCCAAATCTCTGACCAGGATATCTAGACAGTAGACAATTCTTGGAATTTGGGTGGGTTGTTCTTTCATACCAGGAAATCTGACTTCGAGCTATTGAGGCAAGTAGAGGATTATGGGAAATAAGATGGCAGAACTCCACCCTTTATATGTAATTTAGGCTAGGACTTTAGTCTTCAAGGGAGTGTAGGCATCTAAGCAACATAATGCACAAAAGCTCAGTTGTACAGCTTTGGCTTGCATGGCAATGGGGGTCAGAATTTACTCTCCACATATAACCTGCGTACCCAGAATGCATACTAGTAACCAAAAGGCTGGTCTTATTTGTTAGTGATAAAAACCCATACAAGTCACAAGAAAGTTCTACAGCTGTTGCTGGGACCAGGCCCATCTCTAACATTTGTGGGTCTGGAGGAAGAATATAAATATGGAGGCCTAATTCCATATGTCTAAATATTTAAGCTATTGTCAACATAAACATCTGTTAAATAATATGAGCCCAATTGCCATCCTTCTATCTTGGCAAATGTTTAAAATGTTTTTAAATGTGCAAAAGATTAAATTTTTATGGCTGAAAGTCATCAAAATATAAATACTAAATCTATTATTTCATGTATCTAGTTGGCTAATATAGTGATACTTTACACAAAGAAGACATACATGACTTACTGTACATTTATACTGAAACTATTAAATTTATCTTTACTTTCAGTCTCACAATCAGTCATTATGTTGTTATAATCAGTATTTCCACACCACTTTGAATACTGCTGACAAAAATGCCAAATTACACAACTTTTTTGAGTCATTAAAATTTCGATTTGGAGAACAATTCTGTAAAAACAGAAGCAACTGGAGTTGTCAATAAAATTTTAAGACAATGGCTTTTTAAAGTGAGCTAGAAATTCATTGAAATGATGTTAATATGAAGAAATATAATTGTTGCAAATTGATAAAATTTTTATCTATACATTTTCATTACTTATGTCACAATTTTTATCTTTTATTTAAATCCATACAGTATTTACCTTATTCTCTTTTGGAATTTCAATGCTAGAATATTAGAAAGAAACCTATGAATACTGATATATTATCATTTTTTCCAAATCTCTCTTCAGTTGATGCCAAACCTTGACTTCACCTGGAAAATACGCTCTCTTTAGAGATTAGTTTAAGTAGTATTTGTATGTCAATCTGTAATGGACATGCAGAGTCTTATTATCTTGTTTTAATTGGGATATCATATTTATTGGGTATATCTCAAGGAATTTCTTTCAATTAAACACATATTTTCTCCAAAATTTGAAAAATGTATCTATTTTTAAGGTATTTTAAAATGTAAGGGGAACTTTCATTTTTCAGATGATGAAGTAGACGTGCTTTTTCCTCACTCTTCCCTGAGAACACCTGAAAATGCTGGACATTATATATAAAACAAATGTAATAAGATTCTGAAAGGTTAATAAAAGATGACAGAATTACTAAAGACCTTGAGTCCCCCAAAATGATATAATAGTAAGTTGCCTGAATTTTCCTTTTGCCTCATATATCCCAGTCTGAGTGCTGAAGAAGCCAGCAACCAGGAACATCATCAGGCACAGACAAAAAAAAAAAAAAAAAAAAGGAAAAAAAGGCCTAAATAAAACCCTGTTCCCTCTAGCTGAAGAATCATGAAAAGGGTAGCCTAGCAAGACAGGAAAGTTAAAGGATATAACTGTTCCACTGCGGCTGGCCAAACATCACAGAAAAAAAACTGTGGCCCAAATGCCAACCCCACCAGAAAAGACTGAGTGAAGGAGTGAGGGGTCTCAACTTCTCCCCTCATGAGGCTGTGATTAGGTTCCCCAAACCCTTGACTAAAGTCGTATCAAAAAAGTCAAGTGGGAAGCCAGGACTTTCACCCCCACGGGGCAATAATAAGCCCCTTACCCTGACGTGATCCTGGGAGCCAAGTCATGAGTTTTGACTTCCACATCTACCTGGAAGTAACGATGCGACCCTCTCCCTGTGCAGGGGCGGTGTTAAGAGAGGCCTAGTGGAGGGTCAGGCTCAGCAGCGATGAAGCCGCCCACACTGTGGTGCTGGTGGAGGCCACGTGGGCAGCGGTAATGGTCCTGCCCACTCTTCCCAGCTGGGAGGCTTCCACGCCAGCAGTGGAGGACTGTGACTTTTCCACTGGCCCAGAAGGATTGAGGATCCTCCTCCTTGGGTGTTAAGGGTGGCTGAGTAGAGAATATGGATTTTTACCCCCATGGCAGTAAAAAGGTCTTCCTTTTTCCCACCACAGTAGTATCCAAAGCAGCCAGTTAAACTGATTTAAGTAAGATACAGAGTCTCATAACATAATACCTAAAATGTCTTGGTTTCAACTGAAAATCACTCATAACAAAGACCAGGGAGATCTCAAACTTCACTAAAAATAATAAATTCTGACATGGAGATGACAGAGATTTTGGAATTATTTGACAAAGATTTGAAAGCAGCCATGATTTTAAAAAATGTTTTAACAAGCAATTAACAGCATGCTTTAGAAAAGCGGGCCGGGCGCGGTGGCTCACGCCTGTAATCCCAGCACTTTGGGAGGCCGAGGCGGGCGGATCACGAGGTCAGGAGATGGAGACCACGGTGAAACCCCGTCTCTAGTAAAAATACAAAAAATTAGCCGGGCGTGGTGGCGGGCGCCTGCAGTCCCAGCTGCTTGGAGAGGCTGAGGCAGGAGAATGGCGTGAACCCGGGAGGCGGAGCTTGCAGTGAGCCGAGATCGCGCCACTGCACTCCAGCCTGGGTGACAGAGCGAGACTCCCTCTCCAAAAAAAAAAAAGAAAGAAAAGCGACAAAATACAAAAATCCCAGCAAATAAATAGAAAATATAAAGAATAACCAGGTGCAAATTTTAAAAGTAAAAATTCAGTAACTGAAATAAAAATTCCAATGGATGTCTCAACAGAGGAATAAAGAAAGCATATGAAAAAAATCAGTGAACAAAAAGATACAACAGTGGAAATTACCTAATTTGAGAGCAACACAGTGAAAAGAGACTGAAGGGAGAAAAGAAAAAAACAAACAAACAAAAAACAAAAACAGAACTTCAGGGACCTGTGGGACTGTCACAAAACATCTAAAATCTGTGTTATTGAAACCCCAGAAAGAAGAAGAGTGAGTTTGAAAAGTGTTCAAAGAACACCTTCTCATATTTGCCAAGGCATAAATGTACAGACTCAAAATGGTGAAAGAATCTCAAATTAGAGAAACCCCCGAAAATTAATACCAAGATATATTACAGTCAAACTTTTGAAAACTTAAGAGGAAACAAAGCAGAATCTTTAAATCAGTGAGATAAAAATAGCACCTTATCTACTAGAAAAAAAAGAAAAACCCAAATGACTGGAGTTTTCCTTAGAAAACATGACAAGAGAAAGTGGCACAATATTTTTAAAGTGCTGAAAGAAACAAAACAAAACAAAACAATTTATCAACCAGAATCCTATATCCAGTAACAGTATTTTTCAGGAAGGAGGGAAAATCATGACATTCTGAGATAAGGGAAAATTAAGGTAACTGGTTGCCGGCAGAATTACTCTAAAAGCATGGCTAAAATAAGCTATCTAAGCAGAACAGAAACAACAAAAATGTAATTTTGGAATATCATCGAGGAATAAGAAACCAGGTTAATAAATATATCAATATATAAAATAGTCTTTTCTTCTTTGTTTGAGTTTTCTAATTTATGTTTAATGATTGAAGAAAAATATGACACTGCTTGATGTGGTTCTAAATATATTTATTTAGAGAAAATATGTAACACAACCAAATTATGAATAGGGGAGAGTAAAGAGATGTAAAAGAAGGTATGGTTTCTACACTTCATTTGAATAGTTAAAATGATATATATAATTAAAATTCTCCTCATAACAATATTCTTTTAACCTGCCAGCTGATATCGGTAATTCTATGCCTTGAATCTCATTTGATTAATTTGAAGCTGTACCCTTTGAACAGGGTCCAAATATTTTTCAACAATTATACACATGTGAATTTTTTATATAGTTTCTTAAAGTTTTATATAGTTTTTTAAAGTGTTGCTTTTACTATTTTTCTTTTCTCCAAGCATAATATACAAGGAAAAGTCCACATAAGTTTATACCTCAAGGAGTTTTCAAAACAGTGACTCTACCTATATAACCTGCACTCAGATAAAAAAATAAGAACATTACCAGCACCCAGAAGCCTTCTTTATTCCATTCCTCATCATGTTTATACCTCAAAAGTAACAGCTATTTTGAATTCTAATATCATAGATTAGCTTGGCTGTTTTTGGACTTTATATAAATGGAATCACATGTTATACACTTTTTTTATCTTTTTTTATTTCAAATTATATTTGTGAGGGTCTTTCCTATTGTTGCTTGTAGTCATGTTGTGTTCTTTTCATTTGCTGCACAGAAATCCATTGTATAAAGTTAGAGATGAGTAAAGAAAGTGTGAAAATACTGGCTGTCAATTAATTTAGGAAAGTATATTGATACTTGGTGCCTCTCCAGTGTCTTAGCCACATTTTCATGTTTGAGGATGAGGAGACCTCATTACTCTACAGTTCTACCTAAGAGATAATGACAATGCCTTCCAACACCTAACAACAGAGCCCAAAATATATGAAGCAACAATTTATAGAATTGAAGGGACAAATAGTTCAGAAATAATAGAGACTTTAATACCCAAATTTCAATAATGGATGGAAAAAATAGGAGATCAGCAAGGAATTAGAAGAGTAGAAAATATAAACTCACTAAACTTAGCAGACATCTATAGAATGCTACACCCAACAGTGGCAGAATATACGTTGTTTTTAAGTGCCCAGATGCATTCTCCAGTATAAATCATATGTTAGACCAAAAAACAAGTTTTGGTAAGTTATTAAAAGATTAAAATCCTAAAAGTCTTAGATCACAGATCACAAGAGAATGAAATTAGAAATTAATATCCAGAAAGAAATTTGAAAAATTCACAAATACGTGGAGAATAAAGGAAAACATTGTTAAGAAGTTAATGGGTCAAATAAAAAAGAAAACAATTTTTCTCACAAGTGAAATTTGAAGATACTTTCATATAAATGAAAATAAAACCACCACACATGAGAACTTATGAGATGAAAAGAAAGCAGCATTTAGAGGGAAATGTATACTTATGAGCTCCTACATTAAAAAAGAATAAAAATAGCCAATCAATGACATAACTTTCTGCCTCAAGGAACTAGAAAAAGAGAGAAAGTTAAACCAAAAGGGAACATGTCTGAACAGATCAAACTTGCAATGAAAAGTTAATATCAAATCTTCTTAAACTCTTCCACAAAAACTGAAGAATAAATCCAAACTCATTCTATGAAGCTGATATTACCATGATACCAAAGCCAAAGACGTGACAAGAATAGATCATTATAAAATATGACTTACAAATAAAGATGCAGAAATTCTCAACAAAATTCTAGCACACCTAATCCAATAGCTCATAAAAGGATTGTATACCATGACCAAATGAAATTTATCTGATAAAAGAAAGGTGGTTCAACATATGAAAACTAACCAGTGTAATACACCATATTAATATAATCAGAAAGAAACACATGATTATCTCAATAGGTAAATAGGTACAGCCTTTGACAAAATGATAATCATGAAAATTCTCAACAAAATAGAAATAGGAGGAAACTTCCTCAACCAGATAAAGGGCATTTATTTTTAAATACCCACAGCTAACATCAAACTCAATGATGAAAGACTGAAACCTCTCCTGCAATGATTATGCACAAAGTAAGAGTGCTTTGTTTTGCCATTGGTATTTAAGAATCACACTACAAGTATCAGTCAGGAAATAAGAATAAGAAATAAAAAACATACAAATTTGAAAGTTAGAATTAAACCATCTATTTGCAGAAGGCATAATTTTATATGTAGAAAATTCTAAATAATCCACAAAACTTTAGAGCTAAGAAACCAATTCAATCCAGTTGCAAGACACAAGATTTATAATGCACATAAATTAGTTGTATTACACTCTAGCAATGAACAATTCAAAAGTAAAATTAAGAAAACCATTCCATTTAAAATTGCATCAAAAATAATAAAACATTAGGAATAAATTTAACCAAGGAGATACAGGTCTTAAACATTAAAAAGTACAAAACAGTGTTATTTTGAAATTTGAAAAGACCTAAATAAAAGGAAAAACATTGTGTGTTCATGGGTTGGAAGATCTAATATGACGATTAAGACTTAAGATGGTAATACTCCCCAAATAGATCTACAGATTCAATGCAATCCCTATAAAAATTTCATTTTTTTTCCAGGAATGAGCAAGTTAATACTAAAGTTTATATGAAATTACAGGGGACCCCAAATAATAGAAACAGTCTTAAAACGAAGATCAAATTTTGAGGACTCGCACTGACCAAATTAAAAATTATGACCAAAGGACAGTAATTAAGGCAGCATGGTTCTGGCATAAAAATATTCATATAGATAAATGGAGTTGAACATCCAGAAATAAACCTATACATCTACAGTCAGTTGATCTTCAACAAGGGTACCAAGACCATTTGATAGAGAGAATAATCTCTTCCACAAAAGGTGCTAACACAACTGGAAAACCACATGCAAAAGAATGAAGTTGAAGCCTTACCTCATGCCATATACAAAATACACTCAAAATTAATTAAATACCTAAACATAAGGGCCAAAACAACAGAACTCTTTGGGGAAAACCTAGGGGCAAATCTTCATAAACTTGGTTTTGTCAGTTAAATCTTAGATAAGACAGAAACACAAAAACAAAACAAAAAAGACAAATAGGACTTCATCAAAATTAACAACTTTTGTGCATCAAAGGGCATTATCAGGAAAACAAAAAGACAGCCCACAGAGGGGATATTTGCAAATTATATATCTGACAAGGGAGTAGTATTTAGAATCTATAAAAACTATTACAACTCAATTTACAAAAGTACAAAAAACCCAACGGAAAAATAATGGACAAAGACTTGAATAGATATGTTTCCCAAAGATGTACAAATGGCTAATAAGCACAGCAAAGATGCTCAATACCATTAGTCATTAAGAATATTTAAATGAAAATCAAAATGAAATACCAGTTTATATCCATTAGAATGATTATAATTAAAAACATGGGAAATTACAAGTGTTGGTGAGAATCTTTATAAATTAAGCATGGAATTACCATATGACTAATTCCTCTCCTAAGTATGTACTCAAGTGAATTAAAAACAGATGTTAAGCAGTTGTACATAAGCACTCAAAACAGTATTATTATTAATACCCCAAAGTGGAAAAGCCTGTATATGCATCAGTTGGTGAATGGATAAAAAAAAATGTGCTATATCTATACAGTGGAATATTATTTAGATATAAAATGTAGTCCTGAGGCATGCTGCAATATCAGTGAATTTTGAGAACATTAGGCTAAGTAAAAGAAGCCAGTCACAAAAAAACACATATTATGATTCCATATCTATGAAATGTTCAGAATAGGTAAATTCATAAAGACAATAATATTAGTGGTTTCCAGTAGTGAATGGGGAAGGAGAATGGCAATAAATGACTGTTTAATGGCTACGGAGTTTCTTTTTGGGGTGATAAATATTTTCTGAAATTAAGATTGTGGTGATGCCGGCACCACCCTGTCCTAAACACTACTGAATTGTACAGTTTAAAATTGTTAAAATGGTGAATATGTGAATTTACCTCAGTTTAAAAAGATGTCTGCTATTTTGAATTTTATGAAGAGTGATGTGGCAGGAATGCATGACCACGGCTGGCCAAATGGTCCTCCAACTGGCGGTATCACATTTTTTTCTCAATAATGTAAAAAGCATCAGTGAAATATACACCAAAATTAACAACTCTAAATTTGAAATTAGCTTCTACTAATGACCTTAAAAGATTTTATGGAGAGAAAAAAATGATCAAATAATCAGGATTTTTCTGTTAGTTTATAAAACTAAAAGCTTATTTGTTCATACAGAGCTTTGTAGTTGACTACATATCTACATATGCAAAGAGATAGAATAGGAAGAATGATGTATTTGGACCTTTAATTTGAACTCACTGAACACTCATCTGGCCCTACTTTTATCATCTGTAGAATGGAGATACACAGTTCTGTGATTTAATGGATAGAAATGGCCATCACAATTGTTGCTACTATTGTTTGTGTCTAATTTTACTTGTACCATACAGCAACCTTGGGAGCCAAAAAAGTTTGCTTTTCTTATCCATATTTTACTGATGTTGACATTGTAACCGAGAGAAGATATTGCTCAAAGGAATACAGCCTGTAATTGGAATACCTGAGACTTCTGGCTTATAGCTGATCCTTTCTATCTGCCCAGCCTCTGATTATAGAACTCATAACATTCTGTCAACTGAGACAAATAAAATCTCACAAAATGGCAATTATTTTAAAATTGGGTACTGTGCCCTGAAATTTTTTCTTATTAATCTGGTACACAAAGCTGTGCAACCCAGAATGCCTTCTCTCTTCTCTTCCCCTCTTCTCTCCTCCTCTCCTCTCCTCCTCTCCTCTCCTCTTCCTCCATGCCCTTTCTCACTTCAACCTGGTCTAAACTTAGAGCAACTCTTTGAAAACTGAGTATATGCTGTATTGCCACCAATAGTGGTGAGGCTATATGGTTGTGGTACCCTGTGGTCATCTGATCAACACAGGTTCCTGGTGAAAAAATTCCTCCAAGTAACTGTGCTCCAGAAAGGTGCTGAGATATGACACATCATAGTGGAAAATGACATTGACTGTGTTTTGCTAAATAAGCTTTGCCATTTTCAAAACTGTATTAAGTGTAGGCTCTTATCCAGCTCTACTGACACCATCATTATTCTACTGCAGTGACAGCTTGATGAAGGAATGATGACCTAGTGTGCATGGGAGAAAGAACTTTGGCCTGGGAGTCATACCAAGTCTGAATAATGGCTCTGTCATTGCCTCCCTGGGTAATATGAGGTCTGAGTCGAGTTAACATCTGATGCCTTACCATCACGCGTGATGCTAATCTTGGGATTTAAGGCCATGTATGTCCAGCCTTGGGGAGTTATTTTGGCACACTTAGGTTTTTATGTTTTTAGCCTGTAAAATATGGATGTATATAATATGATACCCCTGATCAATTGCAGATTTTGTATTCTGAGACATGATACTGCATTGATATCCTCATATTAACTTACATTGTTAATACTATTTCAATTATATTCCCAGTGACGAGGAGGAGAATTTAAGATAATGATTTTTTAAATGTCATTACATTTTCCTATTTCTAAGATGGCTGTGACATTAACAAACATCATTATTTTGATAACAGCTTTTCCAGGAAACAATTATGCTCCCTTAAATAAACAAAAATACTGTCCAATTAGCCAACAGCATCATGTATTTATATAATTAAATATTATTTAAAATTTTAATACATCTTAGAATCTAAAATTTCGAAGAATTGAACATTTCTTCACATTCAGGCTCTAAAAACATAATTACTATTGATTTTTGACTGTTTTGTATGGCAACATGGAGACGTACTACTTCTTTAGTAGATTTGTGATTGAGACCCATTTAATACCAATAAAATTAACAGAATAATTTTGTGGTAAGAAAAAAAGATTGAGGTTTTATCTACATTTCTGATTTGAATAAAATAATAGTACATTTTTTCTCTGAATTTGTCTATCATGTAAAATTAAACAACTTTTCATTGTTGCTTGTTTGTTTTGCTTTGTTTTGTTGAGACAGGGTCTTCCCCATCACCCAGGCTGGAGTGCTGTGGTATGGTCTTGGCTCACTGCAGCATTCACCTCTTGGGTTCAGGTGATCCTCCCACCTCAGCCTCCCAAGTAGCTGGGACTACAGGTGCAACTACCACTCTCAGCTAATTTTGTTAATTTTTTTGTAGAGACAAGGTCACGGTATGTTGCCCAGATGGTCTCAGACTCCTGGACTCAAGTGATTCTCCTGTCTTGGCCTCCCAAAGTGCTGGGATTACAGGAATGAGCCACCATGCCTAGCCAGAGGCCACTGACAACTTTTGCCAGGTTGATTTTTAGTGCCTTGCTAATGTTCCTTCACTATGTTAGAATCAGCCATGCTCTCTCTCCAGTTTTGCAAATGCTTGATCTACTCAAAAAGGTTTGATAGTTACAAGAGCCTTTAATTGCAGTGCCTGACATGTCAGGAAACTCTTCTATAGTTTTCCTGATGTCTTGATGACAAGAATTTCAGTTACAGTTTTGGGTATTTTTCTTCTAAAGTCCTATAAAGTATTTGGTTGTTGTTTTATATTTTTTAAGTTGGTTATTCTTCCAGTGATACAAATTTACTTACCTTCTAAAAGTAATGTCAGGCCTCTGAGCTCAAGCTAAGCCATCATACCCCTGTGACCTGCACGTACGCATCGAGATGGCTAGTTCCTGCCTTAACTGATGACATTCCACCACAAAAGAAGTGAAAATGGCCTGTTCCTGCCTTAACTGATGATATTGTCTTGTGAAATTCCTTCTCCTGGCTCATCCTGGCTCAAAAGCTCCCCCAGTGAGTACCTTGTGACCCCCACTGCTGCCCGCCAGAGAACAACCCCCTTTGACTGTAATTTTCCTTTACCACCCAAATTCTATAAAACGGCCCCACCCCATTTCCCTTCGCTGACTCTCTTTTTGGACTCAGCTCGCCTGCACCGAGGTGAAATAAACAGCCATGTTGCTCACACAAAGCCTGTTTGGTGGTCTCTTCACATGGACGCACATGAAATTTGGTGCCGTGACTCGGATCGGAGGACCTCCCTTGGGAGATCAATCCCCCATCCTCCTGTTCTTTGCTCTGTGAGAAAGATCCACCTATGACCTCAGGTCCTCAGACCAACCAGCCCAAGAAACATCTCACCAATTTCAAATCCAGTAAGCAGCCTCTTTTTACTCTCTTCTCCAACCTCCCTCACTATCCCTCAACCTCTTTCTCCTTTCAATCTTGGTGCCACACTTCAATCTCTCCCTTCTCTTAATTTCAATTCCTTTCATTTTCTGGTAGAGACAAAGGGGACACGTTTTATCCGTGGAACCAAAACTCTGGTGCCAGTCAGGGACTAGGGAAGGCAGCCTTCCTTTGGTGTTTAATCATTGCAGGGACACCTCTCTGATTATTCACCCAGGTTTCAGAGGTGTCAGACCACGCAGGGACACCTGCCTTGGTCCTTCACCCTTAGCAGCAAGTCCCGCTTTTCTGGGGGAGAGGCAAGTACCCCAACTTCGTATCTCTGTGCCCCGATCCCTTATTTCCACGCCCCAACCTCTTATATCTCTGCACCCTGATCCCTTATTTCCGTGCCCTGACCTCGTATCTCTGTGCCCTGACCCCTTCTCTGCTTTTCTGGAGGGCAAGAACCCCCCCACCCCTTCTCCGTGTATCTACTCTTCTCTGGGCTTGCCTCCTTCACTATGGGCAAGCTTCCACCTTCCATTCCTCCTTCTCCCTTAGCCTGTGTTCTTAAGAACTTAAAACCTCTTCAACTTTCACCTGACCTAAAATCTAAGCATCTTATTTTCTTCTGCAATGCCGCTTGACCCCAATACAAACCCGACAGTTCCAAATAGCTGGAAAATAGCACTTTCAATTTTTCTGTCCTACAAGATCTAAAAAATTCTTGTCGTAAAATGGGCAAATGGTCTGAGGTGCCTGACGTCCAGGCATTCTTTCACACATCGGTCCCTCTCTAGTCTCTGTTCCCAATGCAACTCATCCCAAATCTTCCTTCTTTCCCTCCCACCTGTCCCCTCAGTCCCAACCCCAAGCGTCGCTGAGTCTTTCTAATCTTCCTTTTCTACAGACCCATCTGACCTCTCCCCTCCTCCCCAGGCTGCTCCTCGCCAGGCCGAGCTAGGTCCCAATTCTTCCTCGGCCTGCTCCTCCACCCTATAATCTTTTTATCACCTCCCCTCCTCACACCCAGTCTGGTTTACAGTTTCATTCCGTGAGTAGCCCTCCCCCACCTGCCCAGCAATTTCCTCTTAAAAAGGTGGCTGAAGCTAAAGGCATAGTCAAGGTTCATGCTCCTTTTTCTTTATCAGACCTCTCCCAAATCAGTGAGCATGTAGGCTCTTTCATCAAATATGAAAAACCCAGCCCAGTTCATGGCTCATTCGGCAGCAAACCTGATACGCTTTACAGCCCTAGACCCTAAAAGGTCAAAAGGCTGTCTTAGTCTCAATATACATTTTATCACCCAATCTGCTCCCGACATTAAATAAAACTCCAAAAATTAAATTCCGGCCCTCAAACCCCACAACAGGACTTAATTAACCTCTCCTTCAAGGTGTACAATAATAGAAAAAAGTTGCAATTCCTTGCCTCCACTGTGAGACAAACCCCAGCCACATCTCCAGCACACAAGAACTTCCAAACGCCTGAACTGCCGTGGCCAGGCGTTCCTCCAGAAGCTCCTCCCCCAGGAGCTTGCTACAAGTGCCAGAAATCTGGCCACCAGGCCAAGGAATGCCCACAGCCCAGGATTCCTCCTAAGCCGTGTCCCATCTGTGCGGGACCCCACTGGAAATCGGACGTTCAACTCACCTGGCAGCCACTCCCAGAGCCCCTGGAACTCTGGCCCAAGGCTCTCTGACTGACTCCTTCCCAGATCTTCTTGGCTTAGCAGCTGAAGACTAATGCTGCCCGATTGCCCTGGAAGCCCCGTAGACCATCACGGACGCCGAGCTTTAGGTAACTCTCACAGTGGAGGGTAAGTATGTCCTCTTCTTAATCAATACGGAGGCTACCCACTCCACATTACCTTCTTTTCAAGGGCCTGTTTCCCTTGCCTCCATAACTGTTGTGGGTATTGACAGCCAGGCTTCTAAACCTCTTAAAACTCCCCAACTCTGGTGCTAACTTAGACAATACTCTTTTAAGCACTCCTTTTTAATTATCCCCACCTGCCTAGTTCCCGTATTAGGCCGAGACACTTTAACTAAATTATCTGCTTCCCTGACTATTCCTGGGCTACAGCCACACCTCACTGCTGCCTTTTCCCCCAGTTCAAAGCCTCCTTCACATCCTCCCCTTGTATCTCCCCACCTTAACTCACAAGTATAAGACACCTCTACTCCCTCCTTAGCGACCGATCATGCACCCTTTACCATCCCATTAAAACCTAATCACTCTTACCCCACTCAATGCCAATCTCCCATCCCACAGCATGCTTTGAAAGGATTAAAGCCTGTTATCACTCACCTGCTACAGCATGGCCTTTTAAAGCCTATAAACTCTTCTTACCATTCCCCCATTTTACCTGTCCTAAAACCAGACAAGGCTTACAGGTTAGTTCAGAATCTGCGCCTTATCGACCAAATTGTTTTGTCTATCCACCCTGTGGTGCCAAACCCATATACTCTCCTATCCTCAATACCTCCCTCTACAACCCATTATTCTGTTCTGGATCTCAAACATGCTTTCTTTACTATTCCTTTGCACCTTTCATCCCAGCCTCTCTTTGCTTTCACTTAGACTGACCCTGACACCCATTAGGCTCAGCAAATTACTTGGGCTGTACTGCCGCAAGGCTTCACAGGCAGCCCCCATTACTTCATCAAGCCCAAATTTCATCCTCATCTGTTACCTATCTCGGCATAATTCTCATAAAAACACATGTGCTCTCCCTGCTGATCATGTCCGATTAATCTCCCAACTCTCAATCCCTTACAAAACAACAACTCCTTTCCTTCCTAGGCATGGTTAGTGCGGTCAAAATTCTTATATGAGAGCCAGGACCGCTCCCGGTAGCCTTTCTGTCTGAACAACTTGACCTTACTGTTTTAGCCTAGCCATCGTGTCTCCGTGCAGTGGCTGCTGCCGCCCTAATACTTTTAGAGGCCCTCAAAATCACAAACTATGCTCAACTCACTCTCTACATTTCTCCTAACTTCCAAAATCTATTTTCTTCCTCATACCTGATGCATATACTTTCTGCTCCTCGGCTCCTTCAGCTGTACTCACTCTTTGTTAAGTCCCACAATTACCATTGTTCCTGGTCCGGACTTCAATCCAGCCTCCCACATTATTCCTGATACCACACCTGATCTCCGTGACTGTATCTCTCTGATCCACCTGACATTCACCCCATTTCACCATATTTCCTTCTTTCCTGTTCCTCACTCTGATGCTTGATTTATTGATGGCAGTTCCACCAGGTCTAATCGCCACACACCAGCAAAGGCAGGCTATGCTATAGTACAAGCCATTAGCCCGCCTCTTAGAACCTCTCATTTCCTTTCCATCGTGGAAATCTATCCTCAAAGAAATAACTTCTCAGTGTTCCATCTGCTATTCTACTACTCCTCAGGGATTATTCAGGCCCCCTCCCTTCTCTACACATCAAGCTCGAGGATTTGCCCCCACCCAGGACTGGCAAATTAGCTTTACTCAACATGCCCTGAGTCAGAAAACTAAAATACCTCTTAGTCTAGGTAGATACTTTCACTGGATAGGTACAGGCCTTTCCTACAGGGTCTGAGAAGGCCACCACAGTCATTTCTTCCCTTCTGTCAGACATAATTCCTCAGTTTAGTCTTCCCACCTCTATACAGTCTGATAACAGACCAGCGTTTATTAGTCAAATCAGCCAAGCAGTTTTTCAGGCTCTTAGTATTCAGTGAAACCTTTATATCCCTTACGATCCTCCATCTTCAGGAAAAGTAGAACAGACTAATGGTCTTTTAAAAACACACCTCACCAAGCTCAGCCACCAACTTAAAAAGGACTAGACAATACTTTCACCACTTTCCCTTCTCAGAAGTCAGACCTGTCCTCAGAATGCTACAGGGTACAATCCATTTGAGCTCCTTTTTATTAGGCCCCAGTCTCATTCCTGACACCAGACCAACTTAGACTGTGCCGCTAAAAAACTTGTCATCCCTACTATCTTCTGTCTAGTCATACTCCTATTCACCATTCTCAACTACTCATACATGCCCTGCTCTTGTTTACACTGCCGGTTTACACTGTTTCTCCAAGCCATCACAGCTGATATCTCCTGGTGCTATCCCCAAACTGCCACTCTTAACTCTTGAAGTAAATAAATAATCTTTGCTGGCAGGACTATGCTGAATTTCCTTAGGCACTCTCTAATCAGATGTCCTGGGTCCTCCCAATTCTTAGACCTTTTATACCTGTTTTTCTCCTTCTCTTATTCCATTTAGTTTTTCAATTCCTACAAAACTGTATCCAGGCCATCACCAATAATTCTTCACGACAAATGTTTCTTCTAATAACCCCACAATATCACCCCTTACCACAAAATCTTCCTTCAGCTTAATCTCTCCCACTCTAGGTTCCCACGCCACCCCTAATCCCACTCGAAGCAGCCCTGAGAAACATCGCCCATTATCTCTCCATATTACCCCCCAAAATTTTCACTGTCCCAACAGTTTACCACTATTTTGTTTTATTTTTCTTATTAATATAAGAAGACGGGAATGTCAGGCCTCTGAGCCCAAGCTAAGCCATCATACCCCTGTGACCTGCACGTACACATCCAGATGGCTGGTTCCTGCCTTAACTGATGACATTCCACCACAAAAGAAGTGAAAATGGCCTGTTCCTGCCTTAACTGATGACATTGTCTTGTGAAATTCCTTCTCCTGGCTCATCCTGGCTCAAAACCTCCCCTACTGAGTACCTTGTGACCCCCCACTGCTGCCCGCCAGAGAACAACCCCCTTCAACTGTAATTTTCCTTTATCTACCCAAATCCTATAAAACGGCCCCACCCCTATCTCCCTTCGCTGACTCTCTTTTTGGACTCAGCCTGCCTGCACCAAGGTGAGATAAACAGCCATGTTGCTCACACAAAGCCTGTTTGGTGGTCTCTTCACACAGAAGCGCATGAAAAGTAAAACTATCTTTCTCTACTTTAATTCTATACTTTTTTTGTACTTACAGTATCTCATATATAGTCTACTATTAGTGTTGCTTCTCAGTTTAATTTTGGTAAAATATTTTCAGTCATGATGATGTGCAAATGTAAGTTATAATTCAATTGCATATAGTGATAGT
Organism: Homo sapiens; assembly: GCF_000001405.40. NCBI lineage: Eukaryota > Metazoa > Chordata > Mammalia > Primates > Hominidae > Homo > Homo sapiens. The sequence continues at coordinate 83,788,779 of NC_000002.12, read as the reverse complement.
TGTGCAAATAACTGAACTGAGGCAATACTGTCAATAGAGATCATTTTCACAGGGCAGAATTCATGCACGCGCAGCAGTAATGCCTACATTAGCACTTAACTCTTTTTTCTAGGGTTGGAAGGATTATTTTGGCAGGAATTCGAAGTCACATCCTGGTTTGGGAATAGTCAAAACATGGAATGATGAATGTTTTAAAATCAAGAAATTATATGTATGTACATGTAAAGTGTTTATTATTATATTCAAGCACACAATGCCTTAACCATAACATGGATGAACATTTTCAATAAGACATAATGGCAAGTCTCTGATAGTCATTAATGGAGCAGGACTCACTGCAGTCAAGAGGGTGAGATACTCAGCTTGTCTTTGATAGCTACATGCTTGCTGTATGGCTTTTGCTACTGCATCATTTTTCATGAAACATACACATTCCTTCCATAAAATCATCTTTCACTAGTTTCAGTGTTTCACATTTAACTTGTGCAATACACAGGTACCCACAAACTCTTTATAGAGCTAGACTTGCAATAAAATAGATTCAGAACTCAATAGTTGAGACTTGTTTTAATTAGTACATTTTCTTTTAAACTATAATTCTCTATATGTGGTTAGCATCCATTTTTCAGGATTCCAATATGTTGTTCCTGTACTACTAAACACTTTCCAGGAAAAGTCGTAATAAATTAGAAAAGCAAAATACACAACTAAATGTTCAAGTGAAAAAACAAATAAAAGGCAAGGTAGATAAAACGTTTAATATCATGGACCTAAAGAATTTTCTCATATGGTAGTGCCTGCTTTCACAGGCTCAGGCAGTATCTTACTTTCTACTCTCAATTTTTAAGTTAATACTAAATGTAACTTAGTGATATTCAAAAGCATTCACACAGTTCACACCTAGCACTGGGGGAGGAGAAGAGAAATGGCTGTTTCCAGAGTGGCAGATGCCAGGCTGATTAACCCATCACAAAAAAACCAAAAGCAAAGGGGAATGTATGTAAATAAGATATATTTGTTTTTGCCTTTGAAAATACAGCATAAATAAATAAAGACCACTACATGAGATCAAGCACAGAGTATTTCTGCAGAGCTCACTGCGGCAAGAGAATCAGTCACCATTACTTGAAATGGGCAGAGACTCAGAGGCAGTCAGCAGAGTGGGAAGCTTTATAGGGGACAAAAGGAAAAGCTTCAGTTTACCCTGATTGCAGGCTTTTGGCATGGGGCTACCTAAAAGTAGAGCATCCTATGTGACTGGTTTCAAAGCATATGTGGCTTTCTCTGATTGATCCTGAGTTGGAATCAAGGGCAAACATTGTGGAAGCTGGGCAATCACTGACAAGTGCTGAGCATTCTGGGTTGATTGCTTGCAGAGGTTATAGTTGGCTTCCTGGGCTGGTTGCCACAGGGATTATGGGGCAGATTTTATTGTCATTTATGGCCTGACCATTGTCCAGCTGTATATTGAATTTATCATATATGTCCATATAATTTTAAATCTGCCAAACATGTGCCACGATGATATTAATACTATATTTGACAAAGACAAAACAGTCTGTAAACTTTTCAACATATTCAGTTCAAATTTTCTTTCAGCTGTGTGTGATTTGGTGGGTAATAAGGAAGGGAGATCAGAACATAATTCTATTTATAAACTATGATAATTAGAATTAAGGAAAATATACAATTGCTCAATTCACATTCACATGCTAACCTAAAACAAATGTAGCTTGGAACTTTGTTGGAACAAGAAATACGTTGTTTCTAATAACTAAAAGGAGACATTTTTAGAAAACAGATCACAATAAAACTGCAGACAGAGGCCTGGGAAGGACCATGGACACTTAAGACTGGTGATAATGTAAATTGCAAAAAGATTCAGCAAAATATTCAAATTCCTGCAGCCCCATGTAGCAGATCCAGTTAGTAGTAGTAGAGTTGATGTCATTCCTCAAGTCTCAGTCTAGTGCAAGGATCGGCAATGTTTTTCTGAAAAGGATTAGATAGTCTCTGTTGCATATTATTATTTCATATATTACCCTTCAAAATGTAAAAACAATTTTTAGCTATTAGATTGGGCAAAAACAAGCCATCAACTCCTGTGCTAAACTCCCAAAACTGGCTACCAGAAAAACCTGCTGAAGACATGAAAACAAAGTTAAATTTATTAAACATAACACAGTAAAGGAGACTATCACTTTGGCAGAATTTTAACATGTCTTAGAAAGGATGCATTCAGAACACAATACTTATAGTATAAAGGCTTGCGTAGGGTCATTTTTATTCAAAAGACAAAAAAGTAGGCTTTGCAAGGGATGAAACTGTTTGAATTAGGCAAAATTTATAAGAAAACAGCTTTGGAATGGTAGGTGCAACGAAGTGTGGATTTAAAGTGATTACTGACAAACAAGCTGTTATTCTTGATAAGTTATCTGTTTAGTTTGTTCAGTTTCATTTTCCAAGAACAGTTATTTCCTGAAGCAAATGGCTAAGTAATTTTTTCCCAATTCAAGCATTCTTCAGCAAAAACAGAGAAACATACTTTGTTCGAGAATTGGTAGCATAGGATAGACACAAGAATGGATGTCAGGCTGGGCATGGTGGCTCACGTCTGTAATCCCAGGACTTTGGGAGGCTGAGGCGGGCAGATCATGAGGTCAGGAGTTCAAGACTAGCCTGGCCAACATTGAAACCCCATCTCTATTAAAAACACAAAAAGTTAGCTGGGTGTGGTGGCATATGCCTGTAATCCCAGCTACTCAGGAGGCTGAGGCAGGAGAATGGAGAATGGTGTGAATCCAGGAGGCAGAGCTTACAGTGAGCTGAGATTGCACCACTGCACTCCAACCTGGGCACAGTGCGGGACTCCATCTCAAAAAAAAAAAAAAAAAAAAAAAGAATGTATATTGGATTCAGTTCTCAGTATCTAAACACAATTGAGTACGAAAATTATCTTGAAAGTGGGCATGCCATAGATTTTTGTCTCCAGTACGTAACAGCACCTTGTACAATGTAAATGACTGATGAAAATATAAAAATATTGAAACATTTGTATATGTATTTTATATATGTAAATAACTGACGAAAAAATACTGAATACTATTTGATTTCAATTTTTGATCCAGAAGAACTTAATACGCTGAAGATAGTGGTAATGTGTTTTAACACATTAATTTTCAGTTAAAGGCTTTCTGAATAGTAACAACATCTATGAAACTAAATGAGTAGTACCTCAACTTCCTCTATAGAAGTATTTCTGTTTTAACTGGGGGTTTATTAGAAAAATGCTCCTTCCACAATCCTGTGTCTGCATTTTTATTATAATCTCTTCTCCAATGGGAGTGAAGCATTCTAGCTCCACCCATGATAACAATAATATCTGTGAAAGGCACCAATACTCTGCTACAACCTAGAAACTTCCCTGTGAAAGAGTTGCTTACAAGTAAAGGCAGGGAGGTGTCACTAGCTCAAACTATTCATGCTGCAATCTGTAGACTCTAATCTCTCAGACATCTTCATTTCCCCATGTTCCCTTGCTAAGCCCCAATTTAGAGAGAAAAATCCATTTCTTATACTTCTGAGCAGAAATTCTCAGCTGATTGTAGATAAACTGTGCACCATAGCTGTCGGCAACACATGTTATAAAACCCCAGGAAATGCTCTTTATTTCACATGTCAGTTGGCTTTTCCTTGAATGAGCTGAACTCTAACAGCAGGTAATTGTCTTTTCTTTTTTTTGGCTGTCTCTAGCAATACATTATCTCCCTCCTTGCTACATACAGCCCCACTCCCTCCACAAGCCCATGAGCACACAAACTTTTCTCCTGTAGAATAGGGAGAATGCATCCCAGGGCATTATTTTTACAAGCCAAAGAATTAAGGCAAAATTGGAGTTAAAATATCTGAAGGAGAAGTTTAGAATAACCAAGATAAATAAATATATATATTTTATTGGAATATATATTTATATTTTTATATATACAGTTTAGAATAACCAAGATACATATATATTTATAAATATACATATAAATACATATGTATTTATCTTTGTTATTTAGAATAAACAAATATATAATATAAAATATATGTAAATAAAATTTATATGCATAAATATATAAAATATACATATATTTATCCTGGTTATAAAATAAATATAATAAATATAATAGATTATTAAATATAATATAATGAATATATTAAATATAATATATTAAATATAAAATAAATATAATATTTATTATATTTATTTATTTATCTTGAGGGTTTGGCATGAGGACTCCACGCCAAGTCAAGTTTAGGATAACCCATGGGTCTAGGAGTTCTTGGTTACCACAGATTCTTCAGGCGGGGAACAGCTTGCTCATTGAATAATATATCTCAATGTTATATGAATGAATAAGCAAATAAATGAATGAAAGGAAAACAAGAAGATACCTGGAAAGTTACTTTCAACCTGGAAAGTAAGTTCTCGTTGAAATCAAGGACTTGAGGTTGAACACTAGAGCCTAGCTAATGTTCCAAACAATAGCTAGTATTTCTCTTAGAAATGGTTAATGAACTGGGAAGATAATAGTCAATTGGTCCAGCATTTTCAGGAGAACCTGGCTTTTTATTTTATTGACCATATCCTTTGGGTATTTGCAGAATTTCACTAGGACCCCGGTACCAAATATCTGGAAATGAGGAAATATTATATAATTGGATAGGTTTTCATTTTACAATTAGAATTTTAGACCTGTTTAGAGAAATAATAAAGTTTATTGTGCTGAATAAGAAAAAGACTTTTTGAAAGAGCTTCAGGGAACTTAATTCATCATTTTTCTTTTCCATATATTAGAAAAATAATAAATTGCTAAAGATCATATAGTTATTACTATGTGCCAAAGTGGATCCAAACATTTTATACATTTTAATAAATTAGCATTTTACTTCTCATTTTGATGCATATTTAGTGTTATGTAGACAGCCTTAGGTAGAGCGAGGATTTGATTGTGAGCAGTCTGGTCCCCAAATCCAGGCTGTTGTTGTTGGGTACATTTGGCTTATTTTGCCTTTTGTGTTCTGTACTTCTTCTCTTCTATCTGGTTTTTTTCTCCATTGAGAATGCGGTATTGAAGTCTCTAACTACAATTGTAGAACTGTATGTTTCTCTCTGTAAATCTGTCAGGTTTTGTTTCTTATGTTTTGATGATCTGTTATTAGGTGTGTAAATATTTATAATTTTTATATATTCTTGCTGTGTTGAAACTTTCATTAATATATAATACCTTTCTTTGTCTCTTGTAAACTTTTTTGATTTAAAGTCTATTTTGTCTGATATTAGTATAGCCATTCCTGTTCTCCTTCAGTTATATTTACATGGAATAATGGAATATCTTTTTTCATCCTTTTACTTTCAACCTATTTGTATCTTTGGATCTAAAGTATCTTGTATGGTTGTATCATTCATTCTGCCAATCTTTCTTTTTAATCCATTTAATTTCAAAATAATTACTGATAAATAGGTATTTATTGCTGTCATTTTGATATTTCTTTTCTTTTTTATTTTTTGAGAAGGAATCTCACTCACTCTATTTCCCAGGCTGGAGTGCAGCGGCGCGATGTCTGCTCACTGAAACCTCCGCCTCCCGAGTTCAAGCGATTCTCATCCCTCAGCTTTCCGAGTAGCTGTGATTACAGGGCACCTGCAACCAGCCTAGCTAATTTTTGTATTTTTAGTAGAGACGGGGCTTCACCATTTTCACCAGGCTGATCCCAAACTCTTGACCTCAAGTGATCTGCCCGCCTCGGCCTCCCAAAGTGCTGGGAGCCACAGGTGTGAGCCACTGTGCCCTGCCTGATATTGGTTTTCTTTATGCCTTACAGCTTTTGTGTCCCTCATTTTCTGCATTACTATATTTCTTTGTGTTTATTATTTTTATAATGAAACATTTAAATTCTATTCTCATTTCCTTCTGTTCATATTCCATAGCTACTTTCTTTGTGGTTACCATGGAAATTGCATTTAATATCCTAAAGTTATAACGCTCTAATTTTATTTTATATCAGCTTAACTTCAATAACATACAAAAGCTCTGCTTATTTAATAACTCTGTTGCCACCTCACCTGTGGTCGTTGGGTAATTTTTGTTAACACAAAATTACAGTGTTATACAATGTGTGCCCTAAGGCATAAACTAATGATTCTTTTAAATGCATTAATTAGTCTCCAAAGTATATAAAAACAAAATGTGGAGTTACAAACCAAAGTTACCATAATACTAGTCTTTAATAATTGCTTTGTAAAAATCTATTAGTTTCTTAAATCATGTAGCATACAGAAAGTGAAGATTCAATCTATTGGTATAATAATGCTAATAATGCTAACTTTTACAATTGCCATGTATTTGCCTTTACCGATATCTTTATCTTTTTCATACAGCTTCAAGGTGCCATCTAGTGTTCTTTCATTTTACCCTGCATCGTTCCCTTAAGCATTTCTTGCAGGGTAGATCTAGTGGTAATACATTTACTCCTCTTTTGTTTATGTGGGAGTATCTCCCACGTTTCTGATGAGAAATCGACTGATTATATTATTGTGGATCCCTTCTGTGTGACAAATTGCTTCTCTCTTGCTGCTTTGAAGATTCTCTCTTTGTCTTTTGAAAGTTTGATTATAGAGTGGTTTGGTATGGGTCCCTTTGTGTTCATCTTACTTGGAGTTCACTGAGCTTCCTGGGTGGTCATGGCTTTCATCAACTTTGAAAGCTTTCATCCTTCATTTCTTCAAAAATTCTCTCTGACCCATTGTTTTTTTTCCCTCTCTTTCTGAGACTCCCACAATGCATATGTTGTCCCACAGCTTCCTTAGGGTCTGTTCACTTTCTTCAATCTTTTTTCTTCTTGCACCTCAAACACGATATTTTCTATTATTCTGTCTTCCAGTTTGCTACTTCTTTCTTCTACCTGCCCAAATCTGCCCTGAATTCCTCTAGTTAATTTTTCATTTCAGTTACTGTACTTTTCAGTTCCAAACTTTTGAGATTTATCTCTTTATTGATATTTCCATTTTGTTTAAACATTGTTTTCTTGACTTTCTCCATATCTTCCTTTGATTCTTTGAGCATTTTAAAAATAGTTGTTTTAGCATCTTTGTCTAGTTGATCAGCCATAAAGTCTTTTTCAGGGGAAGTTTTGTTGATTTATTTTTTTTCCTTTGAATGGACCACACATTCCTGTTTCTATCTATTTTTTATTTCTTGTGTGTGGTTTTTTGACTCTGGGCATTTGAATCTAATAATGTAGTAATTCTAAAAATCATATTGTCTACTTTCCCTAGGGTTTTTGAGAAATTATTATTTTGTGTTGTTGTCAGCTGTCTCTGTGCCAAGGATCAGCCTTAGATGTAAACAAATATCTTCTCTGGTGTGTTCTGAGCCTGTATCTGTCCCTGGGCATGCATAGTCACTTTCTGATTTTCTCCATACATGCAGTTTGAGTGTCTTAGTATTAAATGCCTGGCTCACAAACAAAGGGGAAAAAAAGACAAAAGAGAAAAAATGATGTAGGGGAAAGGATGCTGGTCCTTTAAATTTCCTGGAAGTCACTTGTGGGGGCAATGTTGCAACAATGAGGGGAGTGCACCTACAATGGCCATCCACCTATTTTTCTGTATCTCTATAATCAAAAGTAGGCATTAGTAATTAGAGCACAGATCCCTGATGTTTGGAGGACAGGGCTATTTTTGCCCTCTCTGGCTCCCACAAGCTATGTGGAGGTTGTTCCAAGAATGCCTGTTTAGCTGCCTGCTATGGGATTGGTGGTGGGAAATGGTAGCTACTATTGTGCTTCAGGCTGAAATTGAGTAAAATAACCAGAATCTACTGTTCAAGATTTCCCTTGGAAGTTGCAAACCTTTAATAGTCTAGAGTTCTGAAATAGCTACATCAGACACACTCTGCCAGTTCAATTATTGTCTAGGTGAAAAGATAGATTTCTAGTGCTTCCTAGTCTGCTATCTTCCCGGAATCCTCTCAATAATTCTTTATTAAACACCACCTATTTAAATTAGTATGTGGTTTTTGTCTCTGATTAGATATAGACTGATGCAATGTACTTACTAGCTGATTAGACATGACTAGAGAAAGAATTAGGGAGATAGAAGGTGGGTCAGAAAAAAAGTGTCCAGTCTGAAGCAGAAATAAATGAATGGAGGTTGATTTTCAAAAAACTTAAAATCTTTCACTCTAGAATTCTATATAAAATGAAAGTATCATTCATTCTGAAAGCAAAATAAAGACACATTCAGCAAAAGCAAAGCTAAGAATATTTTGCAGCAACATATATAAAATATGTGAAATAATAAACTCGAGGCAGGAAATATATAATCTTAGGTGAAGGAAGAAAGAATCAGAGATAAGTAAAAAGGGACAAATATGGGAAATATGTACAGAGACTATTGAAAATGATAAAAGATGGAGACAGAGTAAAGATAGATGGGAGATAGATAGATAGATAGATGATTGAATTAAAGACAGCAATAGCATAAAATATTGGAGATGGGCACAAGAAGTTAAATTCTTCTCAAATCCTTACACTGGTCTTGGTCGCAGTTAAAATATTTATTCACAGTAGATGTCAACCAGCCAAGAATGCATGTTATAATTTCTGGCATAAAAACAACAAACAACATTTGGTAAAAGTTTGTATAAGTAAAAGCTACCAGTAAAACACCTTAAACTTGAAATAGATAAAAAGAGAGAAAAAAGGAACATAGAACAATACGTCTAGATAGAAAACACATAACGATATGGTAGGTTACAAATGTAACAGTAATTATACTAAATACAAATAAACAAAATTCCCCAATTAAATGACAGTTATTCTTAGATTTGTTTAAAAATACTTTTTGTTGATTATAAGAAACACATATTTAATAAAAATATAGGTATTCAGAATTTGGAAGGAAGAAAAATGATAGGACAAAACTACATGACAATTGACATATGATGTAGAATGACATAGCTGATTCTATGTACAGAATTGACAGAATCATTCATAAGTGAAAATGTTTTCAATACCTATTTACTGAATTTTAAGTGAAAAACAAATCAAAAACACAAAAAAGCAGGAGATAAGCACAGCCCAACAGCAGTTGCACTGAGAAAACTTGCCATCTCAGACACAATTTGCAGCCCATTCATCAAACAAGATACCTTCAAATACAAAAGATGAGAGTGAAACAGGTGCACACAATTTCAGCTCAGAGAAAGCACCTCTTCCATTTCTCACCTAACTTCTATATGTGTTTATCAACCAAACTATTAGAAGCAAGAGCTAAATCACGGGCCTTCCAGTGTACCTAGAACTAATCAATGAAACTACTTACCATAAATAAATCTGATAGCCAAGGAAATTGACTTGATATGTCACATAGTTAAATTCAAACATTTATCTTATCTGACTTCATTCTAAGAACAGTGTTACAAAAAATTAATTTCATGATAATATTACAAAGTGTCTATGGGTCTGGGGTAAGAAATCAGAGTGGTTGTTAGTGTGTGTTTGTTTGTTTGTTTGTTTTTTACCTGTACCATACAAAGACTAATAAAAATAAAAAAGTTTTAGCTATTATAACGTCAAAAAATAAACTTCTGTGTAGGAAGTATACTCCATACTGATAAAAAGGCCAATATACCAGAAATATATAACATTCTAAATGTGTATATTCCCAATAGCATATGGAAAGTAAAACTCATCCAAAATAAGTGGGGAAATGGTCAAATCTGTGATCACATTGAAATATTTTAATACTCTGTTTCCATATGATATAGAACAAGTTTAAGGGGACATTATTTAAAAATACTTCTGCAGGAGAAAAATAGAAAAAAAATGAAATAAAGAGTTGGTTTTGTGAAAAGATAAATAGAGTTGACAAGTCTTTAGCTATACTAACCAAAAAGAGAGGACTCCAATCAATAAAATTATAAATGAAAGAATAAACATTACAGTGTACACCACAGATATACAAAGAATCATAAAAAGACTACTATTAACAATTATATGCCAAGAAATTGTATAATCTAGGAAAAAGGATAAATATCTAGTAATATGCAACCTACAAGGACTGAATCATGAAGAAATAAAATCTGACCAGACCAATTCTGAGTAATGATACTGTATCAGTAATCAAAAACTTCCCAAAGAGAAAAGCCCAGGACCAAATAGCTTTTTTGGTGAATTCTACCAAACATTTAAAGAAGAACTCATGCCAATCATTCTCAAACTCTCCCAAAAAATTGAAGAGAAGGGAAGATATCTAAAATAATTATACAAGGCCATGATTTACCCTTATACGAAACCCAGATAAGGACACCATGAGAAAACTGCAGACCAATATCCCTGATGAATTTAATTACAAAAATTCTGAACAAAATACTAGCAATTTGAATTTAACAGCACATTCAAATGATCACACACCAGATCAAATGAGATTTGTCTCTGGTATGGAAGCCTAGTTCAAAATATGCAAGTCAATAAATATGATACACCATATTAAGAAAATGAAGGATAAAAATCATATGATCATTTCAATAGATGAAGAAAAAGCATTTGACAGAATTTAAAATCTTGTCATGATAAACTTTCTCAACAAATTGGATATAGAAGGAATGTACCTCAACATGTATAATAAAACCATATATGACAAGCCTACAGCTAAAATCATATTCAATGGTAAAAATATTAACGCTTTTCCTCTTTTATCTGGAATAATACAGTGATGCCCACTCTCACCACTCCTCTTCAACACAGTTCTGGATGTCCTATCCAAAGCAATTAGGCAATAGAAAAAGGTAGAAACATCCCTATAGTAAATGAAGAAGTGAAATTTTCTTTATTTGTAGATGACATGACCATATAAATAGAAAACTTTGAAGACTCCATCAAAAACTGTTAGAACTAATAAACAAATGCAATAAAATTGCAGGATACAAAATTAACACACAGCAATTAGTTGTGTTTGTCTACACTAACAATGAACTCTCTGAAAAATAGAACAGAATCAATTCATTTGCCAGAGCATCAAAAATACATAAAATAGTTAGAAACAAATCTAAGGAAGTAAAAGATCTGCACATTGAAAACTATAAGACATTGATTAACAAAACAAAAGAAGACACAAATGTAATAACATAATGTGTTTACTGCTTGGAAGAATTAATATTGTTAAAATGTCTATAAAATTAAAGTAATCTGTAGATTACCAAGTAATCTATAGATTCAATGTAATCCTTATTACAATTTAAATGGTATTTTTATAGAAACAAAAAAGCTTACATTTATTAGGATCCACAACAGTTCCCAAATAGCCAAAGCAGTCTTGAGAAAAAAGAACAAAGCTGGAGGCATTGCACTTCCTGCTTTCAAAATGTATTACAAAGGTAGTGTAGTCAAAATGGTATGATACTAGCATAAAGCAGACACATAGGCCAATGAAACAGAATGAAGTGTCTATAAAAAAACCCATACATATGCAGTACACTAATATTTGATAAGGGTACTAAGAATATACAAAAGAGAAAGAAAAAGCTCTTAAATAAATGGTGGTAGAAAACCTGGATATCCACATGCAAAAGAATATAATTAAACTCCTATCTTGCATTATTCACAAAAATTACCTTAAAATGAATCAAAGATGTAAATGTAAGATCTGAACCTTAAAACTTCTTAAAAATTATAGAATAAAAACCTCTTCGACATTGGTATTGGTAATTACTTTTTGGGAATGATACCAAAAGTACAGTCAACAAAAACAAAAATAAATATGTGGGCTAGCATCAAAGTAAAAAGAGTCTGCATAGCAAAAGAAACAACCAACAAAGTAAAAACACAACCCACGGCATGGAAGAAAGTATTTTAAAACCATATACCTAATAAAGAATTAATATCCAGAACATATAAGGACTCATAAAACTCAATAGCAAAAGGAACAACAGCAACCAAAACAACAAAAACAAAAAAACAAATAATCTGATTAAAAAATTGGCAAAGGACTTGAATAGACATTTTTCCAAAGAAGAAATACAAATGTCCAACAGGTACAAGAAAAAAGGCTCAAGGTCACGAATCGTCAGGAAAATATAATTCAAAACCACAGTAAGATACCACTTACACATTTTTGGATGACTATTATAAAAAAGATGGGAGATAACAAGTGTTGTGAAGATGGAGATTAAAGGAAACTTTGTGCACTGTTGGAGGGAATGGAATGTAAATTACTATAGCCGTTGTGGAAAACTGTATAGAAGTTATTCAAAAAAATTAAAAATAGAACTACCATATGATTTAGTAATCTCGCTTCTGGGTATATATTAGAAAAAAAAATCATTATGCTGAAGAGATAGCTGTATTCCCAGGTTCATTGCAGCATTATTCACAATAGCCAAGATGTGGAATCAACCTTAACGTCCATTCATAGGTGAATAAAGAAAAAAATAAATAAATAAATGTGTGTGGGGGGGGTCGGGTTAGTGTATACAATGGAATATTATGTCTTAAAAACAGCAGGGAATTTTGCCACTTGTGAATACATGGATAAAACTTGAGGCCATTATACTAAGTGAAGTAAGTTAGAGAAAGACAAATACCGTATTATCTCATTTATGTCTAAAAGAAGTGGAACTCGTCGAAACGTAGTTGAATGGTGGTTGCTAGTAGCTGGGCCGGGGAAAATGGTGAAATGTTCATCAAAGGTAGAAACTTTTGGTTATAAGATGAATAAGTTCAGGGGATCTAAGGCAAAGTATTGTGACTATGGTTAATAACACTATATTGTATACTTGAAAGTCGGTAAGAAAGTAAATCTTAAATGGTCTCACCAAATAACAACAAAATAGCAAGTAGGTGAGGTAATAGATGTGCTAATTAGTTTGATCATGGTAATCATTACACAATATATAAATCAAATCATAATGTTGTACAGTTTAAATTCATTCAATTTTGTCAATTATACCTCAAAAAAACTAAAAAAAAGAGTTTTAAAACTGAGAAAAATAGTCTCTAATAGAAACTTTTCCACAGAAAATTAAAAAATGAAACCCTCCTCAAGAGTTTCGTACCAATACTTGATGAGAACATTTAAAGAAGGCTTTAGGTTAATAAACACAATAAACAGAGTTTAGAACTTTTTAAAAAAATTCAAACATTATTATCCAGGAATACGCAAAATGAGTAATATAACATGATCTCACTGAGTTTATCTTGGGATTCCTAGGATAGTTTGTCAATTAATATATTTGACAATTTAATAGAAAAAAATAAACTATTTATGTAAGTCTTATAGCTAATAAAATCCAACAATCCTTCATGATTAAAATATTTTTAAAAAGTAGTAACAACAATGAACTCCTGAATTGGCTGCGAGCTATATTAAATAACATAAAAACTACAGCTATTATTATATTCAATGGTAAAATGTAAAAGCTTTCTTCCTGTGATCAAGAAAGTGACAGGATGCCTGCTTTTATCAATTATATTCATAGTTTCTGGAAGACTTAAGCAAATCAATAAGGCAAGAAAATATAACGCATGATAAAAGGATTAAATAAGAAGACATAAAATGATAATTACAGATTACACTGTATGCATAAAAACAGAAAAACATAAAATAAACTGTTAGAATTAATATATGAAATTAAAAAGTCACTTTATACAAAATTAAAATATAAAAATCAATAATATTTGTATACTAGAAATAAATAATTAAAAAAAGAAAAATTTTAAATGATACCATTTAGGCTGGATGTGGTAGCTCACACATGTAATCTCAGCAATTTGGGAGGTTGAGGCCGGAGGATTCCTTGAGGCTAGGAGTTAGAGACCAGCTTGGCCAACATAGCAAGATGCCATCTCTAAATTAAAAAAAAAAAAATTATCCAGGCATAGAGGTGCACCTGTAGTTCTAGCTATAAGGGAGGCTGAGGCAGGAGGATTGCTTGAGTCCAGGAGTTGGAAGCTGCAGTGAGCTATGATCACACCACTACACTCCAGCCTCTGTGACAGAGCAAAACCATGTCTCAAGAAAAGAGAAAGAGAGGAAAAAGATGCCATTTATAGCAGCCTCAAGAGTAAGAATGTTATAGGTCCAATCATTTTTTTAATATCATTAGTATAAATCCATACTGCATAAATCAATAAATCCATATACAGACACTTGAAATATAATGCAGATATCAAGGCAGATCATTGGGGAAAGAGATAGTCTTTCCAACAATTACCGCTAATCAGTTGGATATCCATATAGACAAAAATAAATCTGAATGCTACCTCAGACCATATTAAAAAAAAAGCTTAAGAAGCTTTTGGGCTGAGATGATGGGGTTTTCTTTTTTTTTTTTTTTTTTTTTTTTGATATTTAAAGAGGTCTTTTATTTAAATCATCTTGTATCATGTCTGACACATTATTGTTTTGTTTTGTTTTGTACTTTAAGTTTTAGGGTACACGTGCACATTGTGCAGGTTAGTTACATAGGTATACATGTGCCATGCTGGTGCGCTGCACCCACTAACTCGTCATCTAGCCTTAGGTATATCTCCCAATGCTATCCCTCCCCCCTCCCCCCACCCCACCACAGTCCCCAGAGTGTGGTATTCCCCTTCATGTGTCCAGGTGATCTCATTGTTCAATTCCCACCTATGAGTGAGAATATATGGTGTTTGGTTTTTTGTTCTTGCGATAGTTTACTGAGAATGATGATTTCCAATTTCATCCATGTCCCTACAAAGGATATGAACTCATCATTTTTTATGGCTGCATAGTATTCCATGGTGTATATGTGCCACATTTTCTTAATCCAGTCTATCATTGTTGGACATTTGGGTTGGTTCCAAGTCTTTGCTATTGTGAATAATGGCGCAATAAACATACGTGTGCATGTGTCTTTATAGCAGCATGATTTATAGTCCTTTGGGTATATACCCAGTAATGGGATGGCTGGGTCAAATGGTATTTCTAGTTCTAGATCCCTGAGGAATCGCCACACTGACTTCCACTATGGTTGAACTAGTTTACAGTCCCACCAACAGTGTAAAAGTGTTCCTATTTCTCCACATCCTCTCCAGCACCTGTTGTTTCCTGACTTTTTAATGATTGCCATTCAAACTGGTGTGAGATGATATCTCATAGTGGTTTTGATTTGCATTTCTCTGATGACCAGTGATGATGAGCATTTTTTCATGTGTTTTTTGGCTGCATAAATGTCTTCTTTTGAGAAGTGTCTGTTCATGTCCTTCGCCCACTTTTTGATGGGGTTGTTTGTTTTTTTCTTGTAAATTTGTTTGAGTTCATTGTAGATTCTGGATATTAGCCCTTTGTCAGATGAGTAGGTTGTGAAAATTTTCTCCCATGTTGTAGGTTGCCTGTTCACTCTGATGGTAGTTTCTTTTGCTGTGCAGAAGCTCTTTAGTTTAATTAGATCCCATTTGTCAATTTTGGCTTTTGTTGCCATTGCTTTTGGTGTTTTGGACATGAAGTCCTTGCCCACGCCTATGTCCTGAATGGTAATGCCTAGGTTTTCTTCTAGGGTTTTTATGGTTTTAGGTCTAACGTTTAAATCTTTAATCCATCTTGAATTGATTTTTGTATAAGGTGTAAGGAAGGGATCCAGTTTCAGCTTTCTACATATGGCTAGCCAGTTTTCCCAGCACCATTTATTAAATAGGGAATCCTTTCCCCATTGCTTGTTTTTCTCAGGTTTGTCAAAGATCAGATAGTTGTAGGTATGCGGCGTTATTTCTGAGGGCTCTGTTCTGTTCCATTGATCTATATCTCTGTTTTGATACCAGTACCATGCTGTTTTGGTTACTGTAGCCTTGTAGTATAGTTTGAAGTCAGGTAGTGTGATGCCTCCAGCTTTGTTCTTTTGGCTTAGGATTGACTTGGCGATGCGGGCTCTTTTTTGGTTCCATATGAACTTTAAAGTAGTTTTTTCCAATTCTGTGAAGAAAGTCATTGGTAGCTTGATGGGGATGGCATTGAATCTGTAAATTACCTTGGGCAGTATGGCCATTTTCACGATATTGATTCTTCCTACCCATGAGCATGGAATGTTCTTCCATTTGTTTGTATCCTCTTTTATTTCCTTGAGCAGTGGTTTGTAGTTCTCCTTGAAGAGGTCCTTCACATCCCTTGTAAGTTGGATTCCTAGGTATTTTATTCTCTTTGAAGCAATTGTGAATGGGAGTTCACTCATGATTTGGCTCTCTGTTTGTCTGTTGTTGGTGTATAAGAATGCTTGTGATTTTTGTACATTGATTTTGTATCCTGAGACTTTGCTGAAGTTGCTTATCAGCTTAAGGAGATTTTGGGCTGAGACAATGGGGTTTTCTAGATAAACAATCATGTCGTCTGCAAACAGGGACAATTTGACTTCCTCTTTTCCTAATTGAATACCCTTTATTTCCTTCTCCTTCCTGATTGCCCTGGCCAGAACTTCCAACACTATGTTGAATAGGAGTGGTGAGAGAGGGCATCCCTGTCTTGTGCCAGTTTTCAAAGGGAATGCTTCCAGTTTTTGCCCATTCAGTATGATATTGGCTGTGGGTTTGTCATAGATAGCTGTTATTATTTTGAAATACGTCCCATCAATACCTAATTTATTGAGAGTTTTTAGCATGAAGGGTTGTTGAATTTTGTCAAAGGCTTTTTCTGCATCTATTGAGATAATCATGTGGTTTTTGTCTTTGGCTCTGTTTATATGCTGGATTACATTTATTGATTTGCATATATTGAACCAGCCTTGCATCCCAGGGATGAAGCCCACTTGATCATGGTGGATAAGCTTTTTGATGTGCTGCTGGATTCGGTTTGCCAGTATTTTATTGAGGATTTTTGCATCAATGTTCATCAAGGATATTGGTCTAAAATTCTCTTTTTTGGTTGTGTCTCTGCCCGGCTTTGGTATCAGAATGATGCTGGCCTCATAAAATGAGTTAGGGAGGATTCCCTCTTTTTCTATTGATTGGAATAGTTTCAGAAGGAATGGTACCAGTTCCTCCTTGTACCTCTGGTAGAATTCGGCTGTGAATCCATCTGGTCCTGGACTCTTTTTGGTTGGTAAACTATTGATTATTGCCACAATTTCAGCTCCTGTTATTGGTCTATTCAGAGATTCAACTTCTTCCTGGTTTAGTCTTGGGAGAGTGTATGTGTCGAGGAATGTATCCATTTCTTCTAGATTTTCTAGTTTATTTGCGTAGAGGTGTTTGTAGTATTCTCTGATGGTAGTTTGTATTTCTGTGGGATCAGTGGTGATATCCCCTTTATCATTTTTTATTGTGTCTATTTGATTCTTCTCTCTTTTTTTCTTTATTAGTCTTGCTAGCGGTTTATCAATTTTGTTGATCCTTTCAAAAAACCAGCTCCTGGATTCATTGATTTTTTGAAGGGTTTTTTGTGTCTCTATTTCCTTCAGTTCTGCTCTGATTTTAGTTATTTCTTGCCTTCTGCTAGCTTTTGAATGTGTTTGCTCTTGCTTTTCTAGTTCTTTTAATTGTGATGTTAGGGTGTCAATTTTGGATCTTTCCTGCTTTCTCTTGTGGGCATTTAGTGCTATAAATTTCCCTCTACACACTGCTTTGAATGCGTCCCAGAGATTCTGGTATGTCGTGTCTTTGTTCTCGTTGGTTTCAAAGAACATCTTTATTTCTGCCTTCATTTTGTTATGTACCCCGTAGTCATTCAGGAGCAGGTTGTTCAGTTTCCATGTAGTTGAGCGGCTTTGAGTGAGATTCTTAATCCTGAGTTCTAGTTTGATTGCACTGTGGTCTGAGAGATAGTTTGTTATAATTTCTGTTCTTTTACATTTGCTGAGGAGAGCTTTACTTCCAAGTATGTGGTCAATTTTGGAATAGGTGTGGTGTGGTGCTGAAAAAAATGTATATTCTGTTGATTTGGGGTGGAGAGTTCTGTAGATGTCTATTAGGTCCGCTTGGTGCAGAGCTGAGTTCAATTCCTGGGTATCCTTGTTGACTTTCTGTCTCGTTGATCTGTCTAATGTTGACAGTGGGGTGTTAAAGTCTCCCATTATTAATGTCTGGGAGTCTAAGTCTCTTTGTAGGTCACTCAGGACTTGCTTTATGAATCTGGGTGCTCCTGTATTGGGTGCATATATATTTAGGATAGTTAGCTCCTCTTGTTGAATTGATCCCTTTACCATTATGTAATGGCCTTCTTTGTCTCTTTTGATCTTTGTTGGTTTAAAGTCTGTTTTATCAGAGACTAGGATTGCAACCCCTGCCTTTTTTAGTTTTCCATTTGCTTGGTAGATCTTCCTCCATCCTTTTATTTTGAGCATATGTGTGTCTCTGCACGTGAGATGGGTTTCCTGAATACAGCACACTGATGGGTCTTGACTCTTTATCCAACTTGCCAGTCTGTGTCTTTTAATTGGAGAATTTAGTCCATTTACATTTAAAGTTAATATTGTTATGTGTGAATTTGATCCTGTCATTATGATGTTAGCTGGTGATTTTGCTCGTTAGTTGATGCAGTTTCTTCCTAGTCTCGATGGTCTTTACATTTTGGCATGATTTTGCAGCGGCTGGTACCGGTTGTTCCTTTCCATGTTTAGCGCTTCCTTCAGGAGCTCTTTCAGGGCAGGCTTGGTGGTGACAAAATCTCTCAGCATTTGCTTGTCTGTAAAGTATTTTATTTCTCCTTCACTTATGAAGCTTAGTTTGGCTGGATATGAAATTCTCGGTTGAAAATTCTTTTCTTTAAGAATGTTGAATATTGGCCCCCATTCTCTTCTGGCTTGTAGGGTTTCTGCCGAGAGATCCGCTGTTAGTCTGATGGGCTTCCCTTTGAGGGTAACCCAACCTTTCTCTCTGGCTGCCCTTAACATTTTTTCCTTCATTTCAACTTTGGTGAATCTGACAATTATGTGTCTTGGAGTTGCTCTTCTCGAGGAGTATCTTTGTGGCGTCCTCTGTATTTCCTGATTCTGAACGTTGGCCTGCCTTGCTAGATTGGGGAAGTTCTCCTGGATAATATCCTGCAGAGTGTTTTCCAACTTGATTCCATTCTCCGCATCACTTTCAGGTACATCAATCATACGTAGATTTGGTCTTTTCACATAGTCCCATATTTCTTGGAGGCTTTGCTCATTTCTTTTTATTCTTTTTTCTCTAAACTTCCCTTCTCGCTTCATTTCATTCATTTCATCTTCCATTGCTGATACCCTTTCTTCCAGTTGATCGCATCGGTTCCTGAGGCTTCTGCATTCTTCACGTAGTTCTCGAGCCTTGGTTTTCAGCTCCATCAGCTCCTTTAAGCACTTCTCTGTATTGGTTATTCTAGTTATACATTCTTCTAAATTTTTTTCAAAGTTTTCAACTTCTTTGCCTTCGGTTTGAATGTCCTCCCGTAGCTCAGAGTAATTTGATCGTCTGAAGCCTTCTTCTCTCAGCTCGTCAAAATCATTCTCCATCCAGCTTTGTTCCGTTGCTGGTGAGGAACTGTGTTCCTTTGGAGGAGGAGAGGCGCTCTGCATTTTAGAGTTTCCAGTTTTTCTGTTCTGTTTTTTCCCCATCTTTGTGGTTTTATCTACTTTTGGTCTTTGATGATGGTGATGTACAGATGGGTTTTCGGTGTGGATGTCCTTTCTGTTTGTTAGTTTTCCTTCTAACAGACAGGACCCTCAGCTGCAGGTCTGTTGGAATACCCTGCAGTGTGAGGTGTCAGTGTGCCCCTGCTGGGGGGTGCCTCCGAGTTAGGCTGCTTGGGGGTCAGGGGTCAGGGACCCACTTGAGGAGGCAGTCTGCCCGTTCTCAGATCTCCAGCTGCATGCTGGGAGAACCACTGCTCTCTTCAAAGCTGTCAGACAGGGACATTTAAGTCTGCAGAGGTTACTGCTGTCTTTTTGTTTGTCTGTGCCCTGCCCCCAGAGGTAGAGCCTACAGAGGCAGGCAGGCCTCCTTGAGCTGTGGTGGGCTCCACCCAGTTCGAGCTTCCCGGCTGCTTCGTTTACCTAAGCAAGCCTGGGCAATGGCGGGCGCCCCTCCCCCAGCCTCGCTGCCGCCTTGCAGTTTGATCTCAGACTGCTGTGCTAGCAATCAGCGAGACTCCGTGGGCGTAGGACCCTCCGAGCCAGGTGTGGGATATAGTCCCGTGGTGCGCCGTTTTTTAAGCCGGTCTGAAAAGCGCAATATTCGGGTGGGAGTGACCCGATTTTCCAGGTGCGTCCGTCACCCCTTTCTTTGACTCGGAAAGGGAACTCCCTGACCCCTTGCGCTTCCCAGGTGAGGCAATGCCTCGCCCTGCTTCGGCTCGCGCACGGTGCGTGCACCCACTGGCCTGCGCCCACTGTCTGGCACTCCCTAGTGAGATGAACCCAGTACCTCAGATGGAAATGCAGAAATCACCCGTCTTCTGCGTTGCTCACGCTGGGAGCTGTAGACCGGAGCTCTTCCTATTCGGCCGTCTTGGCTCCTCCCCCCCCATGATGGGGTTTTCTAAATATAGGATCATGTCATCTGCAAACAAAGACAATTTGACTTTCTCTCTTCCTATTTGAATACCTTTATTTCTTTCTTTTGCCTGATTGCCCTGGCCAGAACTTCCAATACTATGTTGAATAAGAGTGATGAGAGAGGGCATCCTTGTCTTGTGCCAGTTTTCAAGGGGAATGCTTCTAGCTTTTGCTTATTCAGTATTTTGGCTGGGGGTTTGTCATAAATGGCTCATTATTTTGTTGTATGTTCCTTCCATACCTAGTTTATTGAGAGTTCTCAACATGAAGGGAGATTGAAATTTATTGAAGGCCTTTTCTGCATCTATTGAGATAATCATGTGGTTTTTGTCTTTAGTTATGGTTATGTGATGAATTACATTTATTGATTTGTGTATGTTGAACTAGGCTTGCATCCTGGGGATGAAGCTGACTTGATCATGGTGGATAAGCTTTTTGATGTGCTGCTGGATTCGGTTTGCCAGTGTTTTATTAAAGATTTTTGCATCAATGTTCCTCAGGGATATTCGCCTGAAGTTTTCTTTTTTTGTTGTTATCCCTGCCAAGTTTTGGTATCAGGATGATGCTGGCCTCATAGAATGAGTTAGGAAGGAATCTGTCCTCTTCAATTGTTTGAAATAGTTTCAGAAGAGATGGTACCAGCTCCTCTTTGTATTTCCAGAATAATTCTGCAGGAAATCACCTGGAACTGGGCTTTTTTTGGTTGGTAGGCTATTTATTACCTCCTCAATTTCAGAACTTGTTATTGGTCTATTCAGGGAATTAACTTCTTCCTGCTTCAGTCTTGGGAGGGTGTATGTGTCCAGGAATGTATCCATTTCTTCTAGATTTTCCAGTTTATTTGTGTAGAGGTGTTTATAGTATTCTCTGATGGTAGTTTGTATTTCTGTGGTGTTATCCCCTTTATCATTTCTGATTGTGTTTATTTGAATCTTCTCTCTTTTCTTCCTTATTAGTCTAGTTAGCGGTCTATCTATTTTATTGATTTTTTCAAAGAAACAGCTCCTGGATTTGTTGATTTTTTAAAGAGTGTTTTGTTTTTCTATCTCCTTCAGTTCTGCTCTGAGCTTGGTTATTTCTTCTCTTCTGCTAGCTCTGGGGTTTATTTGCTTTTGCTTCTCCAGTTCTTTTAACTGTGATGTTAGGGTGTTGATTTGAGATCTTTCTAGCTTTCTTATGTGGGCATTTAGTGCTGTAAATTTCCCTCTTAACACTGCGTTAGCTGCATTCCAGAGATTCTGGTACATTGTCTTTTTGTTCTCATTGGTTTCAAAGAACTTATTGATTTCTACCTTAATTTTATTATTACCCAGAATTCCTTCAGGAGCAGGCTGTTCAATTTCCATGTAGTTGTGTGGTTTTGAGTGAGTTTCTTAAGGCTGAGTTCTAATTTGATTGCACTGTGGTCTGAGAGACTGTTATGATTTCAGTTCTTTTGCATTTGCAGAGGAGTGATTTACTTCCAGTTATGTGATGAATTTTAGACTAAGTGTCATGCAGCACTGAGGAAAAAATGTATATTCTGTTATTTTTGGGTGGAGAGTTCTGTAGATCTCTATCAGGTCCACTTGGTCCAGAGCTGAGTTCAAGTCCTGAATATCTTTGTTAATTTTCTGTCTCAATGATCTGTCTAATATGGACAGTGGGGTATTAAAGTCTCCCAGTATTATTGTGTGGGAGTCTAAGTCTCTTTGTAGGTCTTTAAGATCTAGTTTTATAAATCTGGGTGATAAGTAACTTCAGCAAAGTCTCAGGATACAAAAATCCATGTGCAGAAATCACAAGCATTGCTATACACCTACAACAGATAAACAGAATGCCAAGTAATGAATGAACTCCCATTCACAATTGCCACAAAGAGAATAAAAAACCTAAGAATACAGCTAACAAGGGAAGTGAACGACCACTTCAAGGAGAACTACAAACCACTGCTCAAGGTAATAAGAGAGTACACAAGCAGATGGAAAAACATTCCATGCTCATGGATAGGAAGAATCAATATCATGAAAATGACGGTACTTCCCAAAGCAATTTATAGATTCAATGCTATTCCCATTAAACTACCACTGACATTCTTCACAGAATTAGAAAAAAACTATTTTAAATTTTCTATGGAACCAAAAAGGAGCTCATATAGCCAGGACAATCCTAAGCAAAAAAAAACAAAGCTGGAAGCATCACACTACCCAACTTCAAACTACACTACAAGGCGACAGTAACTAAAACAGCATGGTACTGGTACAAAAACAGACACATAGGCCAATGAAACCAAATAGAAAACTCAGAAATAAAACCACACACCTACAACAATCTGATCTTTTACAAACCTGACAAAAACAAACAATGGGGAAAGGATTCCTATTTAATAAATGGTGATGAGGCATATGCACAAAATTGAAACTGGACCCCTTCCTTACACCTTATACAGAAATTAACTCAACATGGATTAAAGACTTAAATGTAAAACACAAAACTATAAAAACGTTAAAAGAAATCTAAGTAATACCATTCAGGACATAGGGCAAAGATTTTATGATATAATCACCAAAAGTAATTGCAACAAGAGCAAAAATTGACAAATGGGATTAATTAAATTAAATAGCTTCCACACAGCAAAATAAACTATCATCAGAGAGAACAGACAACCTACAGAATGGGAGAAAAGTTTTGCAATCTATCCATCTGACAAAGATCTAATATTCAGAATCTATAAGGAACTTAAGCAAAGTTAAAAGAAAAAATTCCATTAAAAAGCAGGCAAAGGACATGAACAGACACTTCTCAAAAAAAGACATACATGGGACCAACAAACATATGAAAAATACTCAACATCACTGATCATTAGAGAAATACAAATCAAAACCACAATGAGATACTGTCTCATACCATTCAGAATAGTAATTATTATAAGGTCAAGAAACAAAAGTTGCTGGTGAAGTTGTGGAGAAATAGGAACACTTTTACACTGTTGGTGGGAATGTAAATTAGTTCAACCATTGTGGAAGACAATGTGGTAATTCCTCAAAGATTTAGAATGAGAAATACCATTTGACCCAGCAGTCCCATTACTGGGTATATACCCAAAGGAATATAAATCATTCTATTATAAAGATACATACACATGTACATTCATTGCAGCACTAGTCCCAATAGGAAAGACATGGAATCAAAAGAAGTGACCATCAATGATAGATAGGATAAAGAAAATGTGGTAGATATACACCATGGAATACTATGAAGACATATAAGGAAACAAGATCACTCATTTGGAGGGACATGGATGAAGCTAGGAGCCCTTATCCTCAGCAAGCTAAGGCAGGAACAGAAAACCAAACACCGCATATTCTCATTTATAAGTGGGAGTTGAACAATGAGAACATATGGACACAGGCAGGGGAACAACACACACTGGGGCCTCTCAGCAGAGGGCGGTGTGGGGAGAACACTAGGGAAAAGAGCTAATGCATGCTCGGCTTAATACCTAGGTGACGGGTTCATAGGTGCAGCAAACCACCATGGCACACATTTACCTGTGTAACAAACCTGCACATCCTGCATGTACTTTGGAACTTAAAAAAAAAAAAAAAAAAGAGAACCTCAGGTGGTGGATTGTAGTTCTAAATGTGAACATAAACGCCAATGAAGGTTATAAAGGATAATGTAGGTAGCTATCTTTATGAACTTTGGATAGGGAAATAATAAATAGGACATAGAAAGCACCAACAAGGAAATACAATATTGATATATTGGAGCTAAAGTTAAAACCTTGTATTTCTTAAAATGCCCCACTGAGAATATTAGCCTCTGAATGAA
The DNA here is from genome assembly GCF_000001405.40 of Homo sapiens. Lineage (NCBI taxonomy): Eukaryota > Metazoa > Chordata > Mammalia > Primates > Hominidae > Homo > Homo sapiens. Next base: position 83,764,456 of record NC_000002.12, on the reverse strand, counting down.
AAAAGACATTTGCAACAGATATAACAATATGTTTATACAGAGCTCATTTTAAAAACTACAAATGAGCAATAAAAAGAGAAAATTTCTAAGAAAAATAAAATGAGCAAAAGACTTGAACAGGCACTCTAGATTGAATAAGATGTTCTAAAAAAGAAACATGCAAAGCTGCTCAAAATTATGAGAATTGAGTAAAATGCAAATTAGAAACAGTAAAAGATACCATTAAATACCTCCTTGAATTATTATAATATAAAAGGCTGATAATACTTAATATTGATAGTGTTGCAGAAAAACTAGGAGTCTCAAACACTGCTAGATGGAGTGAATATTAGTATAGCCCCTTTGGAAATATTTCTGGCAGTACCTAAAGTAAAATAAATGTGAACATAATACCCAGTAATTTCATTACTAGGTAGTTAGCAGTAGAAATGCTTTCCAGTATGCACCAAAGACAAATACATAAAGGTCATAGCAGCATTACCTAGATTAGCCTTAAATTGGAACCATCCCCAAAGGGTCATCAGTAGTACAATGGATAAGTAGAATGTAGGATATTTATTTAATGCAATTATTCTAACAAATTTAAATGAACAAACTACAGGTACACCAAAAAAGGATGAATTATGCATACATATAATTTGAATAAATGTCTAATTTTATTAATTTAAAATTTAAAAATAGGCAAAAATTTTCGATGTTAGAATTCAGAATAGTCAGGATTCTGACTTTAGAAAGTCAGAGGAAGTAGTGATTAAGAGTGTGTGGGAGAAGTAATTTCTTTGTGTACTGGTTATATTCTGTCTCTATGTTTGTTGGGGTTACAAAATTATGTTCCATTTTAATAATTTATTCTGATATACCCATGAGATTTGGGGGATTTAAAACACGTATAGTCCAATAAAAAATTATTAAATGTATATGTTTGGATCCCATTCCAGATTGTGGAGATGGCGCCTGATTATCTTGGTAGCCATTTCTACCTTTTGTATTTCTGGAAGAGAGAAATAGGAAAGGAACAGCTATCTCAAATTCCCTTCCTGCTCTGCAAAACCAAATATTGTTGATTTGTAAGTTATTACAGAAGAACTTACTGGAATTGAAACTGGTCCAATTGTCCCATAGAACTGATGTTTATGGTTTCTTTTGAATAAACATAGAAATGGACCCTCCCAATCTTGAAACTTGGAAGAGTTATGTTTATCTTATTTGAGTTCCTTTCTCAGGAAATCACCTGTTAGGCCTCTAAGATGGTATCAAAGAACTGAAACTTACCAGATCTCTGCATCTGGACCATGAGACACCAGACCCTTCACCTTTCATGATTGCTTAACTGACCACCTGCTTCCTGTTGACCAGCTCCTCTTCCTTATCCTTCCCTAATTTCTGTTTTCCCACACATGGTTACATTTCTTCCCTGCTATATAAACCCCTAATTTTACTCAGTCAGGGAGTGTGTCAGTCAGGATTCTCTAGAGGGACATAACTAATAAGATAGATTATATATATATATATATATAAAGAGGAGTTTATTAAGTACTATTAACTCACATGATCACAAGGCCCCACAATAGGCCATCTGCAAGCTGAGGAGCAAGAAAGCCAGTTCAAGTTCCAAAGCTGAAGAACTTGGAGTCCAATGTACAAGAGCAGGAAGCATCCAGCATGGGGGAAAGATGTAGGATGGGAGAGTAACCTATCTAGCCTTTTCATGTTTTTTCTGCCTGCTTTATATTCTGGTTGGGCTGGCAGCTGATTAGATGGTGCCCACCCAGATTAAGGGTGGGTCTACCTTTCCCAGCCCAGTGACTCAAATGTTAATCTCCTTTGGTAATACCCTCACAGACACACTCAATAGTAATACTTTACATCCTTCAATCCAATCAAATTGACATTCAGTATTAACCATTAAAAGAGAGATAAATTTCAGTGTTCTCCCATCTCCTTGGTTGCAGCACCTGATTAAAGGATTCTTTCTTGGCAACATGAATTGTCCCAGTGATTGGCTTTCTGTGTGGCAAGCAGCAGGATCTAGACTGAACCCCTGATATTTCAGTAACAGAATTCAGAGTAAGCAGATATTAATCTTATAAGAAGATATTAAAAGTAATTTAATACAGATAGAAATGTAATTTTCTTGAGGCTGAGGAAAGGGAAAATCTCATGAACAGAATAAGTTTGAAGAATCTGTTAAGGGATTCAGAATATCATGAATCTGGAAGATAGAGAAAATGGGCAGAACTGAAAGCTCATTGATTCAATAGAATTTATGAAAGGTTATAAGTATTTCTCAAGGTGTCTAATTCAAGCCTTCAAATATTTGTTCCCTAAATACTTTTGTTTTTCTTGTAGGTAATACTGGCTCTATCTTCAAATATTTGTCTGAAATATGTTTAAACTGTTTCAATTTCTAGTTTGTATATTAAAATTAAAAGATTAGGTTTTATGACAATTGAAAAAAATGACTAGTAGAACTTCCTTGAGAAAAGCCCTTATTTTACTCAATACGCAGAAAATAGACTCAAAATGGATGAAAGACTTAAACATGAGATCTAAAACTTACTCTTTGAAGAAAAAATAGAGGAAAAGTTTCTGGGCATTAATCAAATTTTATAACAAAAGCACAGCATGGTGGCTCTCACCTGTAATCCCAGCACTTTGGGAGGCTGACAGGGGCAGATTGCCTGAGGTCAGGAGTTCAAGGCCAGCCTGGCCAACATGATGAACCCCTGTCTCTACTAAAAATACAAAAATTAACCAGGCGTGGTGGCACATGCCTGTAGTCCTAGCTACTCAGGAGGCTGAGGCAGGAGAATCACTTGAACCCTGGAGGTGGAGGTTGCAGTGAGCTGAGATCATGCCACTGCACTCCAGCCTGGGTGACAAAGCGAGATTATGTCAAAAAAAAAAAAGGAAAGAAAAGCACAGGCACCAGCCTGGGGGCCTGGGGACTGGTTGGCCACCATCACTCAGTGCATATGTGACCTGCATGGGAGCCTGAGGACCAGCCCACTCAGTGCTCCCATCCTAAGCAAAGCTTCATAGTCTTCACAACCAACCACAGCCTAGGCCACTGAAGAATTTTCAGACACTGCTGAAGCTGATTATAGCTGGAGAAATCACATAGAAACTACACTGTATTGACCATCTAGAATCAAAGCCAAAGTATCCTACCCATCTGACAGTATAGGACACATCTACAGGGAAAAGTCTTTTCCTAAAAGATCTACTTCATGACATTATTAGGACTATTCAACCAAATGAGCAGATACAAATGTAGGGTCACAAGAAAAATAAAAAGGTAAGAAAATATGACACCTCCAAAGGAACACAATAATTCTCTAGTAACAGATAGCAAAGAAAAGGAAATCTATGAAACATCTGAAAATAAATTCAAGATGATGACTTTAAAGAAACTCAGCAAGATACAAGAGAAGAAAGATAATTCAATAAAATCAGAAAAAATATTCATGATTTTGATGAGAAATTCAACAAAGAGATATAAAAAAGAACCAAACAGAAATCCTGGAACTGAAGAACTCAATGAATAAGATAAAAAATACAATTAAGAGCCTCAATATCAGTCTAGGTCAAACAGATGAAAGAATTTCTGAACTTGTAATGAACTTGAACAAAATGAAAAAAGAAAGAAAAAAAGCTTATATAACATATGAAACACAATAAAATAAATAAATATTCAAATTTGGAGAGTTCCAAGGAAAACTAGCTGAGAAAGAAATCAAGAAATAATGCCATTTAAAATAGCTACAAGAAAATAAAATATCTAGGAATGTATCTAACCAAAGAGATGAAAAATCTCTACAATGAAATTTACAAAACACTGATTAAGGAAACTTAAAAGAACACAAAATATGGAAAAGTGTCCCATGTTAATGGATTGGAATCATCAATATTGGCAAAATGACCATACTATCCAAAGTACTCTACAGCTTCAATGCATTTCATATTAAAATACCAATTGCATTCTTCATAGAAATAGAAAAAACACAATCTTAAAATCTACGTGGAGTTCAAGTTACCTCGAATAGCTAAAGCCATTCTCCTCAGAAAGAAGAAAGGTGGAGTCACACACTACTGAACTTCAAATATACTACAAAGCTATAGTAACCAAAACTGTTTGATATTGGTATAAAAACAGACACATAGGTCAATGGAACAGAGTAAAGAACCCAGATATAAATCTATGCACTTACCGACAACTCATCTTTAACAAAAATGCAAAGAACATAGAACAGGGAAAGCACAGTCTCTTCCATAAATAGTGCTAGGAAAACTAGATATCCATATACAGGAGAATGAAGCTAGACCCTTATCTTTCACCATATAAAAAATCATCTCAAAATGGCTTCAAGATTTAAATATAAGACCTGAAGCCATAAAACTCATAAAATAACACATAGGGAAAACATTTCAGGATATTGGTCTAGGCAAAGATTTTATGAGTAAGACTTTAAAAGCACAGGTAACAAAAACAGAAATAGATAAATGAAACTATATCAAACTAAAACATTTTTGCACAGTAAAGGAAACAATTGACATAGTGGAGACATCTTGTAGAATGGAAGAAAATATTTGCATACTATTTATTTGACAAGGGACTAATATCAAGCATATATAAGGAGTTCAAAAACTTGACAGAAAAGAAGCAAATCATATGATTCAAAAATGGGCAAAGGATCTGAATAGACATTTCTCAAAATAAGACATACAAATGACCAACAAATATATTTTAAATATGCTAAACATTGCTGATCATCAAGAAAATGTAAATCAAAACCACAATGAGATATCTTACCCCAATTAAAATGGCTACCTTAAAAAACACAAAAAATAACAAATGTTGAGAAAAGGGAATTTTATAAACCATTGATGGTAATGTAAATTAGTAGCTCATTATTGGAGTAGAGTAGGAAAGTGTTTCAAAAAACTACAAATAGATATATGTACAACCCTGCAGTCTCACTACTAGGTATTTATCCATGTGAAAGGACACCAGTATATTAAAGCGATATCTGCATTCTCATGTTTACTGAAGCTCTATTAACAATGGCCAATATATGGAATCAGCCATGTGGAATCAAATGTCAATCAACTAATAAATGGGTAAAGAAACATGGTATATACACACAATGGAATACTATTCAGCCATAAAAAATGAAATACTGTCATTTGTGGAAACACGAATAAGCCTGGAAAACATTATGTTATTTGAAATGTCAGGCACAGAAAGATAAGTACTGCATATTCTCACTTAATACATGGGAGCTAAAAAAACTAAGCTTGCAGGCTGGGTGCAGTGCCTCAAACCTGTCATTCCAACACTTTGGGAGGCCAAGGTGGCAGGATCACTTGAGCCCAGGAGTTCAAGACCAGCCTAAGTAACAGAGTGGGACTATGTCTCTACAAAAAAATTAAAAAAAAATTAGTCATGTGTAGTTGTGCACGCCTGTAGTCCCAGCTACTTTGGATGCTTAGGTGGGAGGATCATTTGAGTCTGGGAGGTTAAGGCTACAGTGAGCTGTGATTGCACTACTACACTCCAGCCTGGTTAACAGAGTGAGACTCTGTCTCCAGAAACAGAATAAAATAAAACAAAACAAAAAATCAAAACTAAGGTCATAAAAGTAAACAGTAGAATAGAGCTTATTAGACAGTGGGAATGAATGGGGAAAGGGATGATAGAGAGAAGCTAGTTAAAGGATACAAAATTATAGCCAGATAGGAGAAATAAGTTCGAGTGTTTTAGACAGCACTATAGAGTGAATATAGTTAACAACAATTTATGGTATATCTTCAGAAAGCTGGAAGAGAGGGTTCTGAATATTCACAATGGAAATAAGTGACAAATTTCTGAGTATATGGATTTGCTAACTACCCTAATTTGATTATTACTCATTTTAGGCATATATCAAAATATCTCTATGTATCTCATAAATACATACAATTATTGTGTGTCAACTAAGAATAAAAGGACAAAAGAAGTACAGGCAACAAAACCAAAAATAGACATGTGAGACTACATAAAAATCAAAAGCTCCTTTACAGCAAAGGAAATCATCAGAGTAAAAACAACCTACAGAATGACATAAAATATTTGCAAACCACGTATCTGATAAGGGGTCAATATTCCAAAATATATAAGAATCTCCTACAAGTCAAGACGAAAAAAACAAAACCAAATAACCCAATTAAAAATGGGCAAGAAACTTGAATAGACATTTCTCCAAAGAAGACATATGAATGGAAACCAGGTATATTAATGGATGCTCAATATCACTACTCATCAGGGAAATGCAGATCAAAGCTACAATGAAATATAACCTAACAATATTAAGATTAGTATTATTTAAAGAAACGACAACAAGAAAAGCACCAATAACTGTTGGTGACGATATGTAGTTTTTGGAATTCTTACACACTTTTGTTGGAAATGTAAAATGGTACACCATCATGAAAAACAGTATAGAGGTTCATCAAAAAACTAATTATAGCACTACTATGTGATCTGGCAATCTTACCTCTGGATTAAATTGCAAACCATTGAAACCAGAATCTCAAAGCCATATCTGTGTTCATATGTTCACTGCAGTGTGATTTGCAATAGCCAAAATATGGAAACAATGCAAATGTGCATCAAAGAATGAATAAAGAAAATGTAGCATATACATACAATAGAATATTATTCAGCCTTAGGAAAGAAGGAAATCATACCATTTGCAACAACATGGATAAACGCAGAGGACATTGTGCTGAGTGATCAGTCACAAGAAGGCAAATACTGCATTTTTCCACTATGTCAGGTATTTTAAATAGTCAAATTTACAGAAGCCAATAATAGAATGGTGATTATCAGGCCCTGGGAAAGGCATTAAAGGGCAGTTGTTGCTCAATATGTATAAAGTTTCAGTTACGCAAGCTGAATGCATTCTAGAGAGCTACCTGTTCTTCAGTATAGTACCTACAGATAACAACAGGGTTTTGTGCACTTTAAATATTTAACTAGGATAGATCTCATGTTAAGTGTTCTTACCAATTACAAAAAAAAAAAAAAAAAAAAAAACAGAAAAAAAAGACACACAGAAGAACACAAGGAAATTTTCTGCAGGTGATAAATATGTTCTGTACCTTAGTTGTGGTGATGGTATCATGGGTGTATGCATGTATCTAAACTTAACAAAATGTCTATATTTAGTGCGTGTGATCTTTTGTATATTAGTTATGTCTCAATAAAAATTATAAAGAAAAACTACCTATTATTAGCCTTTTAAGTTATGAATGAAATCTCGAGGACCTTGCCTATAACTTCATTAACATCTCATTAACCCAGATAAACCAATAACATTAAAGGTAGAATGAACAGTGAAAGAATTGTTCCCTTTCAATAGCAAAGCAACAGGGACAATTCATCGCCTATGGTGGGAAATATACACAACAGTCTGTCTCTTAAGACTCTGATATTGAACAGGCTAATCCCTTACCACTGATGCTATGTCACAAAATCAGTACCCTCACCAGCAGCAATGTGCATCCTCACCCCTGCAACAACAGGAGTCATTTGAAATAAATGAAAGGATGCCATTACTCTTTCTAGCTGAGGAATAAGTGTCATAAGGCAGATTTGTCATCCCTCAGTGAAGGAAATCTCTATTGCATTTTACAGATTTCGATGTCTAAGAAACTGTTTTAGATATAGGAAAAATGGAGACACTAAAAGAGCTGAGAAGACAATTCTTAGATGGAGGAATTATGTTTGCCCCTTAAGAAGGTTTCAAAATAGGTACTACTAACTAGACCATGAAAACAGTTGCTTGCCAGAATTGTTTTGTCAAATTGAACAAATGTTTATCATACATAGAGCTGCAACCTTTATAAAGCCCTAAAAGAAGCGGAAGACCTCATAAACTGAAAAAAAATTACTCTAATGGGAATACTGGAAGTAAAAAATTACATTTTGATGAAAGATAAAATCAAAGTAGTAGGAAGGTCTATATGGTTGAGTTTAAATTTTAAGTTTAAAGATTAAGTTTAAAATTCAAGATTAATTTTAAAAAAGAAAGCTAATTTATTCTTAAAAGACTGTATTGCATAATAGTTCAACCCCTGCATTGTGGGATTAGACAGGTCTAGGTTTGATGCCTAGGTCATGGGTCCTTTTGTGGCTTATGTCCCTGACACATATGTACACACTGAATGCAACTTTTACTTGCATGATCTCTTATGACCTACACAGCATTATCCCATTTTAAGCATTATGAGACCAAGGCCCAAGTAATAGACTATTAATGTCAAGGGAGGTGGGGCAGAACTGAAGCCTGCTTATCAAAATTCAGTTTTCTAACTTTATCTCCAACCTTACACATATCTAATCAGGTTCTTGCTGTGTTTAATCCTCAGAAAGGTTACCTGTTATAATTAGAATACATTCCAAAATATGTAAGAAAGATTAGCATGCCCTGGTCCCTGGCAAATATCTTAGGCTCAGATCTGTCCTTCTCCACAGCTCTCCCTCCTTTCACTGGCCTTTATTCAGTCCCTCAAACATAAAGTCTTCTATCATCTTGTACTCCTTTATGATACTTCGCACACTAGTAGTTTTATTGTTAGTTACTAGTGATTATTTAATATCTGACTTCTGACAATATCAGCTAGAGCATAAGTTCTGTGCTGGCAATTCCACATCTATATTGTTTACTTGGTCTATGCTCAGTGCTCTGCAGAGTATCTGGCACATAGAAAGCACTTATTACTTGTTTTCTAATTCATACACTTATTTCAGATAAGAAAGTTATATTTCTCTGAACTTATGGACCCTGTTCCTATGCTATTTTATCTGGTAATTGGGCAGATTATCTCTCTCTTTTGTCAGCCTGTGTAACTTCTGCTCATTTTTCCCAATCCAACTTAAAACTCTCCAAGACAGTTATTTCTCCTTTGTTCCATCTTTTCATACATTTGCTGTTAGAATCGCACAGTCAACATTTGATTACATTCATTCTTTCTTTTCATAAAAGTACGTTATATTTCACAGGCCTGTGTTTTTTTTTTTTTTTTCTATGAGATATTTTTAAAAGAGATTCTGAAAGTCTTTTTTTTTTCCATTTATTTTCAGAGCCTATGCCTGCTAGGCATCTTCAATGTGAGAGTAACAACTTGCTGACATTGATTTAGAAGATACTGAAGAGTAGAGAGCAGTTAAAAGACAAAGGCTTTTGATGGATAGAGCGCTTGGTCTGGAGCTGATCAAAGAGAAAGCTTAGGGAAGACAGCCTTATTATTATTTTTTTTCTAAGAGGCTGCATGTCTAGAGGTTGTGGTGAACATTTCAAAAGTCATCTGAGAAAATAACAGGGTAGATGTTTGTCTCTTAGGATGCATTCATGAAAAACGTACTGACAAAGTCCATCTGAAAACCAATAAGAAAGTCAAGGTTAATAGGAGATATTTGTGTGAGAATTCCAAACAACATTCACAGAGATTCTAATTTAACCTTATGTGAAAATGCAACACAATAAGCAAAACAAATCCATTTTAATTTAAATCACAGTAATCTGTGTATTTGGCCCCTTTCATTCAAATATATATATGTTTAGTTTTCAAGTATTGAATTTAATCAACCCAAAAGTACAAAAATTGACAATCTGACAGAAAAGAAATAATCGAATAGGCTTCCTTCTTTCAACATGAATTTAGAACTTGTGGGCTGAGAAAATCTATTTGTTCTTTATTCATTCCATGTCATAAATCTATAGAACCGAACAATCTTGTTTTGAAAATCCTGGTCAGACAGGGAACAGGAGGCTCTTAATCTCAAAATCCTGTATAACAACCTGTATTGGGCTGATAGATTTGCCATTTTTTCATCTTAAACTGTAAATTCCTAGGGTCCAGATAATTTTCTTTGCATGGCTTTAAGCTACGTAGTGTCTGGCTTATAGAAAGCACTTTTTAAAATGAAATGTTAAAGAAGATATACAGGAAGATGTCACTGTGGACAATGTGTTCAAAATTATATTTGGAAAAATATGAAGATATTTCCCTCAGCTACAGTTCAGAAAAATGCATTTTAAACACACTTGACCTAAGTAGGAACAGAGACAGTGAACTCCCTGCCTCAACATGTTTCCAGAATCTGCCTCCTAGAGTACCTGACATTTCCTTGTTTATTTCAGGAAGTCTAAGGTTTATTCAGGAAGTTTATTTCAGACAATCTAAACTATTTGTCATTTAGGAGATATCTGAAGGCCTTAAAAACGGTGTAATAAAAGTGATTGAATACAAAGAAAAAATAGCCTCCAAAATTCACTTTCTGCTACTCTCAGACCTTTGTATATTGATTGGATTCAGTTTTTAAAGCTAGGGTTAAGCCATGGCTGGCTCCTGTTAAAGTATTAATATGGTATGTGGGATATGAGTAATGAGTAATACATTAAACCAATATCAGCTACATGAACTAGTGTATCAGATATACCAAGACAAAACCAGTTGAAGGATGGAAACTTAGATAAGTTTTGACAAGAAGGTACAAAGGGAATTATGGTCTGGGCTTATCCTCTGAGAGCAAAACCACAAGGCCAGAAAAATGATGAAGGAAATGAGTAGAGCTAGAAAAGACCAAACTACACAGTTCACACTTTTGATATGTGAACCCACCACAGATAGTTCAGGTCAATGGTGTGACTAAGTTTGAGTCCCTATTTGCTTAGGAAACTGATGTGATATGAGAAAGAATTACAGATATGAGAAAAGCAGCTTGCTAATTCTCTCATGGGAATGTCATTATAGTAGTACAGAGTATGTCTCATCTGTCCAAGGGCTAGTGACAAGCTACTTTCATGATTGGCTACTCAGCACAGTTATTTTGCCATCTTTATGCCTATTTAAAGCTAGAAGTAGACCATACCATAAAGTGTTTACAATAAGTGATGAAGCGGCCAGAACCATGGGTTACATGATCTGATTATTCCTGGTCTTTTCATGAAATAGTGATGACAGTCTTTTCTTGGTTTTATTTTTTTAATCTCAACTCCACTCCTTTCTTCATCCTAAATCAAAATTAACACTATTCCAGTACACTGTTTGTTTTTAATGGAGATGATTCCATGGATAAATTATACAACACTTTCAGCAATTACAAAATGTATTTTCCCAGAAATGATGGGTTTTGACTCTACCCTGGAAGGATCAGAACCCTTCTTAAACATGTGGGGATGGTAAGGAAGAGTGGGAAAAATAAGCAGGAAAGAACACATTTTTCACACATCTGTATTTCTGCTCCAGGTGGGAAGAAGAGAGATGACTTTATTATCAAAGCAAGTTCGGTATGTTATTATTATTACACAGCACTTGGCTTTCTATTTGTCAGATGAAGATTGTGTTTGTGACTTAGAGAGTAATATCGTTATTATAGGATATGACCGTAAATACATCTGTGGACAACCCTGTCCATTCCTGTTATCCACCTACTACTTTTCAGAGAAAATTGATGGTGATAGATATGGTTTATTATACATGGCTCGGGGACAGGAGGTAAATCATTGCTTACCCAAACATGCCCTCCTGGGGTCTATGAAATATAAAACACTAGATGCACAAACACACATACCAGGGGGGAATGATCTGCTTGGTCCTGGAGAGCCAAGACATTGTGCCCAGAGCACAAACATCTGCATCTTTCCTTCTATCCTCATTATCAGTCCCTCTTTTTTGTGAACTGGATTACTGAAATGTCCTCGTATCTAATCTTGCTTCAAGATACCCACATTCTCCTTCAACCCTTTTTTATGCTCTACCCAAATGATACTTCTAATGCTGAATATTGATCATATCATTTTCCTCATTCAAAATCTCTCAGTAGCCCACAGAATTAAATCCAAACACCACAGCAAACATATACATCCTCCTTGGTCTGTTGTTTCCTTCCTTCCTTTCTGGCTTCCTCTTTCATCCAATCTAGACAGTCTAAACCATTTGTCATTTAGGAGATATCTCAAGGCCTTTAAAAAGGTGTAATAAAAGTGATTGAATAAAAAGAAAAAGTAGCCTCCAGAATTTACTTTCTGCTACCCTCAGATCTTTGTATATTGATTGGATTCAGTTTTTAAAACTAGGTACACAATGCCGTGAGTCCCTTGAGGTTAACAGTTATGTTCTATCTCATTCGCTGCTGTATCCCAAGGATCAAACACATTTTTAAAAGAAAGACAGTAGGAGAAAGAGAGAGAAAGAGGCTTCATTAGGATAAACCTACTTTAGGAATATTTCCAGAACAATTGGGCTCCAATAAATTGCATTTTTAGTTAAATAAAAATTAAAGAAAAAACAACTTGTTCCAATGTCTACTGTAAAAAAAAAAAATTTCTCAACCTTCTTCCATATTTCTTCTAGTATGGCCTGCTGGTCATAGTTGAATTTCTCTTAGCTGCAAACACTTGGTCCCTATTCTATGTACTCATCTTTAATGGCCAGGAGTAGTAGAATATGTATTATAGTGGCGTTTAATGTGAGTTGTGCTCAAAACATCACAAATAAGGTATGAATTTACTTCTACTTAGTGAAATCTAAGTTCTGGTGAAAAATTGTTCACTAAAAATAATTTATATTTATTTGCTTAGTGCAGTTTTAGACAGGAAGAATTAAGAAAGTGGAGGTCCCACTGTGAGCCTTGGCACTGCTGCATATTTGCTTATGTAATGGTTGAAAAGCAAAAAAAAAAAAAACCAAAAAAAACAACAACAACAACAACAAAACTGAGGATTTAGGATGAACATGTATACAATAACAAAAATAAATTAAACTTAAAGTCCTTTGCACCTAAAATAATAAACAGAAACAGAGGATCTTTTATTTCTTGATTTCATAGTACAGGCATCCTCAGAGATATTGTGAGTTCAGTTCCAGACCATCACAATAAAGTGAATATTGCAATAAAATGAGTGAGTCACATGAATTTTTTGGTTTCCTAGTGTATATAAAAGTTATGTTTACACTATACTGTAGTCTATTAAGTGTGCAATAGTATGTATAAAAATAATATATGTATCTTAATTAAAATACTTTATTGCTCAAAATACTTTATTGCTAATGATCATCTGAGCCTTCAGCTAGTCACAGTCTTTTTGCTGGTGGAGGGTTTTGCCTCTATGTTGATGACTGCTGACTGATCACGATCGTGGTTGCTGATCAGGATAAGGGTGGCTGTGGAAATTTATTAAAATGAGAGAGAAATGAAGTTTGTTGCATTGATTGGTACTTTTTTTCACAAAATATTTTTCTGTAAAAATGTGGTGCTGCTTGACAGCATTTTACCCGCAATAGAACTTCTTTCAAATATGGAGACAGTCTTCTCAAACCCTGCCACTGCTTTATCAACTAAGTTTATGTAATATTCTAAATCTTTTGTTGTTATTTCCACAGTGTTCACAGTATCTTTACCAGGAGTAGATTCCATCTCAAGAAACCACTTTCATTGCTTGTCCGTAAGAAGCATATTGTTATTCATGTAAGTTTTTTCGTAAGATAGCAACAATATAATTACATCTTCAGGCTCCACTTCTAATTCTCATTCTCTTGTTATTTCCATCACATCTGCTGTTATTTCCTCCACAGAAGTCTTAAATCCTTTAAAGTCATCCATAAACGTTGGCATCAACTTTTTCCAAACTCCTGTGGATATTGATATTTTGACATCCTATAGTGAATCACAAATGTTTGTAATGAAATCTAGAATGGTGAATCATTTCCACAAAGTTTTCAATTTACTTTGCCCAGATTCATTAGAGGAATGACTATCTATGGCAGCATTACCTTATAAAATGTATTTGTTAAATAATAAGACTTGAAAGTCAAAATTCCTCCTTGAACCATGGGCTGCAGAATGGATGTTATGGTAGCAGGCATCAATATGCATACACACAACCATTAATCTCCTTATACAACTCTATCAGCACTTTTGGGTGACCAGGTGCGTTGCCAATAAGCAGCAATATTTTCAAAGGAATCTCTGAAGAATAGATCTCAGCAGAGGGGTTAAAATATTCAGTAAACCATGCAGTAAATACATGTGCAGTCAACTAGGCTTTGTTTTTTCAATTATAGAGCACAGGCAGAGCAGTTTTAGCATAATTGTTAAGGGCCCTAGGATTTCCTGAGTGTTAAATGAGCATTGGCTTCAACCTAAAGTCACCAGCTGCAGTAGCCTCCAACAAGAGAGCAACCTGTTTTTTGAAGCCAGGAAAGTCCTAGATAGCACCTTCTTCTAATATAAGGCTGTTTCATCTACACTGAAAACATCTCGTTTAGTAAAGTTACCTTCATCGATGATCTTAGCTAGATCTCCTGGATAACTTCCTGTAGCTTCTGCATCAATTCTTTCGGCTTCACCTTGTGTTACAGAGATAGCTTCTTTCCTTAAACCTCACAAACCAACCTTTGTTGGCTTTGGACTTTTCTTCTGCAGCTTCTTCATCTTTCTCAGCCTTCACAGAATTGAAGAGAACTAGGGCGTTGCTCTCAGTTAAGCTTTAGTTAAGGGAATGCTGTGGCTGGCTTGATCTTCTATGAAAACCACTAACACTTCTCCATATCTGCAGTAAGCCTGTTTACTTTCTTATCATTTGTATGTTCCTTGCAGTAGCACTTGTAGTTTTCTTCAAGAACTTATCTTTTGTACTGACAACTTGGCTAATTATTTGGTGCAAGAGGCCTAGCTTTCAATCTATCTCAGCTGTAGACATGCCTTCCTGAGAAAAGCTTAGTCACATCTAGCTTTTGATCTACAGTGACAGAGAAGGAGAGAGTTGGAACAGCCAATTGGTGGAGCAGTCAAAACACACACATTTATTAAGTTTGCTGTCTTATTTAGGCATGATTCATGGTACCCCAAAACAATCGCAATAGTAACATCGAAGATCTCATATTACACGTCACCATAATGTGTCCAGAATTGGTGGGTTCTTGGCCTCACTGACTTCAAGAATGAAGCCGGGGACCCTCGCGGTGAGTGTTACAGTTCTTAAAGGCGGCGTGTTCTGAGTTTGTTCCTTCTGATGTTCGGATGTGTTCGGAGTTTCTTCCTTCTGGTGGGTTCATGGTCTCACTGGCTCAGGAGTGAAGCTGCAGACCTTCGCAGTGAGTGTTACAGCTCTTAACGTGGCGCATCTGGAGTTGTTCTTTCCTCCCGGTAGGTTCGTGGTCTTGCTGTCTTCAGGAGTGGAGCTGCAGACCTTCGTGGTGAGTGTTACAACTCATAAAGGCAGTGTGGACCCAAGCAGTGAGCAGCAGCAAGATTTATTGCAAAGAGCGAAAGAACAAAGCTTCCACGCTGTGGAAGGGGACCTGAGAGCAGGGTGCCACTGCTGGCTCAGGCAGCCTGCTTTTATTCTCTTATCTGGCCCCATCCACATCCTGCTGATTGGTCCATTTTACAGAGAGCCAATTGGTCTGTTTTATAGAGAACTGATTGGTCTGTTTTGACAGGGTGCTGATTGGTGCATTTACAATCCCTGAGCTAGACACAAAAGTTCTCCACGTCCCCACTAGATTAGCTAGATACAGAGTGTCGATTGGTGTATTTACAAACCCTGAGCTAGACACAGAGTGCTGATTTAATATATTCTTTTTCATAATGTAATATATATCAGTACTTTCTGAGCAAATTTTCTAATACATTCATTTAAAATAAAATTAGTTCATTGAAGTGAAATAAAGACTACTCCCTTACAAATTGATTCTCCATAATATCTAAGTGTGAATTCCCAGCACAGTGCACACAGATTTGAGAGGGAGGAGCTCAAGCAACCATTATAGAACCTTCGGGATCATTTTTATTTCAAATGCTAAGTGAGAATTGCAATTTCAATATTTATCAATACAGAAAGCAAATCTAAGTATAGTACCAAGTTCTACAGCTGAATTTTAGAAATCGATACTGCACAAATTACATAGGTTACGCAAACTCACAAACTTTTGTTTGTGAGCTATGTCACTTTATCTAATATAGCTATGTCACTATATCTAAATAAAACCATTTATTTGTGTCATTTATATGCCATTTAAAGCCTAAAATAATGATACATATTTTTTTGGTATCCCAGAAAATGTGTTTTTAGTAGGCATTAGTCAGCTGCAGTATTTATATACACTAAAATATCAAAATAAGTTATTTTTATGAGAATGTCACTGAATTAGTGAGTGAATTAAGTGACTACAGCAGCTTGTGAGATGAAATCCATTATTTTTAAATGTTTGACTTTATTTAAGCTGAATGGCACTTAAAGCAAGAAAAAAGCTATAAAAAGACTTAATTTCAAACATAAAGGTCATGGAAGGCTTATGAATGAGAGGTTATTTGCAGAAGTGCATTTGGAGAGTAGAACTCTAATTGTAGCTTTGAATGCAGAAGCACACATTGGCTCAAGTTTTATTATTACAATTTTATAAGAAACTCACTGAACACCAAACTCATGATCCTGATGTGACAATTTAGGATTAGCCATTTCATAGGACTCATGATTGGCTCTCTGATAACTTCTAGGTTTTGCTTTCTTTCACACTGCTGTCCCTATTGACAGCATACAATTTTTTTGCAATGCAATTCTACTCAGATAGTCCAGAATTCAAATAATATTTTGTTTTTGCTAGGCAAGTTTCATGACCTGGATCAACTATGAACATTTACATTTATTAGTTAACATCTACATTGGCTAAACTGTAGCATCTGACTTGATGTCATCCTAAAATAATATTTCCTTCAGAGTATTTTCTTCACTCTGTAATTGCTAACTGCTTTCCTATTTGTTTTGTAACTTATTTCCTTAATTAGAGAATATTTTTAAAAATAAAATTTGAGCAAGGATTGTAGATACCTGAGATTTAGTCTGCCTCTGCTTTAAATCAGTGTACCAGTTTGCTAAGTTTGCCATAATGAAGTACCACAGAGAACGAGTAGTTTAAACAGCAGAAATGTATCTGGCAATTCTAGAGGCTGCCGTTGGAGTTGAAGGCGTCAGCAGGCTTGGTTTCTTCTGGGGGCTTTCTCCTTGGTTTGTAGATGACTAACTTCTTCATCTGATTTTACACTGTTGCTACACTGTCCTAATTTCCTCTTCCTGTAAGTGTAATAGTCACAGTGGGTTAGTCACCACCCTAATATCCTCATATTAACTCAATTTCCTTTTTAAAGAGCCTATCTCAGCCAGGCGTGCTGGCTCGTGCCTGTAGTCCCAGCACTTTGGGAGGCCACAGCAGGAGGATCGCTTAAGGTTGGGGGTTCAAGATTAGCCTGAGTAACACAGTGAGACCTCTGTCTCTAAATAAATAAATAGCAAGCGTCCAAATACAGTCATATTATAAGGTGCTGAGGGTTAGGACTTCAACACATAAATTTGAGGAAGAAACATTCGGGCTTGTAACAATTACCTTTGGTAAATTTTTTGACTTCAATGGGTTTATTTTTTTCCTCACCTAAAAAGCTGAGTTCTGGCCGGGCCCGGTGGCTCACGCCTGTAATCCCAGCACTTTGGGAGGCCGAGGCAGGCAGATCACGAGGTCAGGAGATCGAGACCATCCTGGCTAACATGGTGAAACCCTGTCTTTACTAAAAAAAAATACAAAAAAATTAGCCAGGCGTGGTGGCGGGCACCTGTAGTCCCAGCTACTCAGGAGGCTGAGGCAGGAGAATGGCGTGAACCCGGGAGGCGGAGCTTGCAGTGAGCCAAGATCGCGCCACTGCACCCCAGCCTGGGCGACAGAGCGAGACTCCGTCTCAAAAAAAAAAAAAAAAAAAAAGCTGAGTGCTTGGTGTCTTACCTCTCTGAGTATCCTGAGGTTCTATGACTATACTGAATATCTATCTCATTGTATGGTGAAAAAAAAAAACCCATTGTTGGAAAAGTTTGAATTTTGAACTTATTCAACATGTTGATAGTTGATGATCATAATAATCACAATAAAAAGTGAGATCCATAAATGCCTTCTGAGTCAATAAAAATCATTTATATATACAGATATATTAATTGAAACAGCTGGTATTTAATAAGTTTATGTCCTATAATACATTTATAATGGACAGGCACATACTAATTTGTAATTGTAACATAATTTTAACTTCTTTAATTTATTGCTTTGTCACAAATCTTGTGAGATTAAGGCAAGCATTACATCTGCTCAGTTTGACAGATAAGTTAAAAAAAATGATGTTGAAATATCTAAGACCATGCATTTGGTAAGCAGCAGAACTAAGATTCAGAGTTAATCAGAGGTTAAACCTTGTGTTTTATCTGTGATACTATGCTTGTTCTTTAGAGGGAGTAACTAAAAAAAAAAAATATTTTGAACAAATATTATTATTTAAGTCCTTGAAAAATTTAGAGGAAATCTTTACCAAAAAGGAAAGGTAGTTAAATTGTAAGAGAAAAAAAAAAATAAAACGTCAAATTGCTAGTGTTGAGGAAATATTGCATTGTTCATTAGAACAAATAAATGTCAAAAAAATTGTTACTCTCAGCTAAGGGGTTAAAAAAAAGAGTCTCAAAAAAATTGAGTGCAGAAAATGAGAAGAAAGAAAAATGAATTAAAATGAGGTAGATATATTCAATGTATGAGATTATAAATGAGAACTTTAATATAAACCTGAATTACAATATAAATGAAAAGACTAAAATCAACATATCTAGTTAGCTAAGGTTTGTTGCAGATGGAAAAGGAAATCAAACAAATCCATACTAAATCTCATGCTTATTATCTAGGGTACAAACAAAATGACTCCAAAATATCATTAAACTTCTTCCATCTGCAAAACTGTTTATCATATTTTGTTTTTATGCATTCTATGAGAAAAATGCTCCCCAATGAAATACCATAATCATTCCATATTTTTACTGTCAATGTATTATCCACTGAAATACACCGAAATTAAACTTTAGCATTTAATAATTAGCTATCATGTGTTATCAAATTAAAAACTCCTTTCTTCATTCATGGCATGGTCTCTCCTTTATATTAGTGCCAGTGTTTGTATCTGCTCCAGGAAAAGAGACACTTATTTATTTATTTATTAAGCAAACCCTCACATAAAGGCCAGGCAGTGATACAAGGCTTCATCAATTTTAACTCATTACAAATATGAACTCAAGAGTCTTGTTTCTTAGTTATTTTAGACAAAGATTTTAAGATCTTATCATAGCCCCACACTTCCAAAACAGCTGATCTTACTGATTTTCCAGTTTCCTCTCTTCCCCGCCACCTCCAAATATACATGCAGTGAATTCAATGTTTCTGCATTTTATCATTCCTCAGCAAGTGTTAGGAGGTAGGCAGTATAACAAAGTCAGTATGTGCACAGCATGTTGGCTTTGAAGATTCTGAAAGCTCTACTCTGTCATTTATAATGACAATGTCCCACTGCCTCCTCATCATGAATTGTCTAATCGAGATGCGAATGCATACTGTCACAACACGGTGTGAACAACTATTAGCTATAGGAGAAGCCTGAATATTGTTGTGGGGTAAAAGTTGAAGAATGAGCATACCCAAAATATAGAAAGGAGAAGATTCTGAAAAATAATGTGCCCAATTTGGAATGGAATGTATCCCAGCAAGGAATCACATTCAAGACAGTTAGCTCAGGCAGATAAGCACTTAGTAAAATGATAGGACTGACTAGGTAAGCAGGATGACTAGTCAAGGAGCCAAGATGAGAGAAAAGCATATGAGACCAGGTCACTTTGCACTCATCCCCCACGGAGTCCCTATTCTACTCTTTCCATCTATACACATATAGAGAACTAAATGCCTTCATTACATAGAATAGAGTAGGCAGGCAGGCAGCTTGTGAAATACTTTAGGAAAAAGAGTTTGCTTTTCTTCAGAGAAGACCTGCACTGTGTTGATTGGTACCGAGGGGTGCTTGTCTCATCCCAGTGATGGAGCAGTGACTGGAGAGAAAGGGAGTGATAAAGGAGGAGAGGAAATGATGCTGGAAAATGCAGCAGACATGGAGATATGGTGGAAACTTTTCAGGGCAGCTAGACTTTCTGCAGGTTTATTGATTTTCTTTTTGAAATAGCATTTGAAAGGCTTCTCTCAGGTTTGTGAGTGAGAAGATTTTTAGGCAAGGCTATGGCAAAGACATGTTTATGGTTGACACTGTGTTATTTCTCAGTTTATGGTACCTGTTTGGGGAATACGTTTATATCCTTCTTACTGCCGGCATTTACCAAGCATAGATGCCACTTGCAGAGAGTGATTTATTTTTTGCACCATTATATTTTGAAAGACTTTCAGGTTACAAGAAACCTTTTAAATTAGAGCCCATGATTTTAAGATTAATAACTGTAATTACAGAGCTCTGTTATAGCAGAAAGAGCTGTAGCTTGCCTGTGAGATTGAATATGAAAGGTCCCTCGTCCAAGGGAATAATAAAAGCATGTTTTTCTGTAAGGACAGCCAGTAACAGGAAGACACTTTCTCCCTGGAGAATACACGGGGGTGGTGAGGGTTAAAGCTTTGCTGAAGTTATGGTGATTCTCTGTAATCTAGCCCTGAAGACCAATTCAGGTCATAATCCCTTTTTTTTTTTTTTTTTTTTTGTGATGCCACACTCACCTGGGAAATTAGGATTGTTTTGACCCTATCTCCCCAGCCTCATACTTCAAAGTTTGCTGTGATTTAAAATGTTCCCTCCAGTAGCTGCAGCCCAGCAGAACTGCAATCTGGTTAGGCAGCAACTGCAGGGACATTCGTTTCTCTAATGATAAGTGGCCAGAGTTAAGCAGAGACCTGATAGTCCTTCTGTACTTTAGGGGAACAAGAAACTATCACTCCACTGCAAGAAACCCTTAAAACATTTATAATGATGAAAAATGGTAGTATTAAAAGTAACTCTAATGATTTTATTTAATCAACCTAACTTTTTAGGAGGCCCTTTTAGAAGGAGGAAGGGGAAAAGGTAAGATAAAATAAATGGAGTTGGAGAATAGTAGGAAGTAAGCTACAATGGAGTGCATGAAGGGACAAAGGCATTAAAATAATAGGAATTGGGGTAAAAATGACCTGGAAGAACAGAAAGATAGAAAACATGAGAGGGAGTAAGAAGGGATGAGAGGAAAGAAGTCATTGACAGAAAGGAAAACTGGGGAAGTCTAACAGAGTTGACTGACAGGAAGTACAGTGATAAATGAAGAGAGAATACAAATGAAGGGACTCCCCAAAAATGCCAACAAATGCAATTCTTTTCTATTTTCTCTTATCTTCTTCACTGACAAAAGGGACTAGAAATTCAAGCTCAAATATAGAATCTGAGGGTTGTATCAACCATGGTCTTTAATGAGAAAAGATGCACTAAGAAACATGGAAACAGAAAACTGATGCTGGATACTGTTCCTCAAGATAACCAAGGAAGATAATAATGCCAAGACTTAAGTATGGAAGAACCGCAGGAAGCTTGGGTTTAAAAGGTCATGCAGAATACACAATGACTGGGGAGTATGTTACCTTTTCATCTCATTAAGAGACTCTGAAATTCTTTCATTGGTGCCTCTTCATGAACATCACCTGGTGAAGCTCTGCATCTTCCTACTCTTGCCCTTATCCTTTCTAACAATCACCAACTCTGTCTTCAATCTCTCTCTTCCTCTTCTCTCTTTTTCATCTGTGATAGATTGAATTATGGTTCCCAGTTCCTCACTCTCCCTGTATCTATATCCTTTGCCATATGACATTTAAATTCTTCCCACTAGAGGCAGGGTGTACATATTTCTGCCCTTTGCCTTTGGACTCTGCTGTATGCCGTCTTTTGGTAAATGGGATGTTGGCAGACACAATGCAAGGAGTGGCTTTAAAAATACTTACATGACTGGACCTGCCCTTTTGTGTTTCTGCTGTAGCCGTGAGCTCATATCCCAAGTGTCTTTCAGATCCCCAAAGAATGAGATGCATGTGAAACAGACCTGAAGTAAACAGGTGGCATGGAGCCAAGCCCAGAAGAGCTCAGCCAAGATCAGCAGAACTACTGGAGCCAATCCAAAGCTGCATGAGCAGCTCATTATTTTAAGCCAGTGAAATTTTGGAATTAGTTGTTACACAATAGTTTTTCTCTCTTTTAAAATGTTGTCTTGACCCAGTTTTGAGGCCCTGGCTAGGGACAAGTGAGTTCCCCATCTTGAGCAGCTAATTAAGTATTTGACTCTCACATGCACCTACCATATCACCCTGGGGCCAGGCAGCAGACAACATACAGAGTCAATAGAAATAACTCAAATTAGCCAATCCACAAAGAGCTTGAGAACCTAGCTAACTGCATGTGGGTATCAGTGTTCAGTGTCCCACCATCAAATAAATTCTTCAATCTTACATATCAGTGTTATGAAATATTATTGAGGTGATATATACCTGATATGGCAACCCATATTTAAACACTTGAAGAGAAATAGACTTTTTAGCCAGTATCTTGCCTATTAGGGAAAATTCTCCATTAAAACAACCTTATATTTTAAAGGTCCTGCTATCAACTGCTAATTTTTGGGTCATGATATGGTTTGGCTGTGTACCCACCCAAATCTCATCATGAATTGTGGCTCCCATAATCCCCATGTGTCCTGGGGTGAACCTGGTGGGAGGCAATTGAATTATGGGGGTGATTACCCCCATGATGCTGTTCTCATAATAGTGAGTGAGTTCTCACAAGATGTGATGGTTTTATAAGGGGCTTTTCCCCCTTTTGCTCAGCACTTCTTCCTGCCACCATGTGAAGAAGGACGTGTTTGCTTCCCCTTCCACCATGATTGTAAGTGACATAAGGCCTCCCAGCCATGCTGAACTGTGAGTCAATTAAGCCTCCTTCCTTTATAAATTACCTAGTCTCAGGTATGTCTTCATTAGCAATATGAGAACAAACTAATGCAGTAAATTGGTACTGGGTAGTGGAGAGCTGCTGTAAAGATACCTGAAAATGGGGAGGCAACTTTGGAACTGGGTAACAGGCAGAGGTTGGAACAGTTTGGAAAGGCTCAGGAGAAGATACGAAAATGTGGGAAAATTTGGAACTTCCTAAAGATTTGGAGGGTTCTGAGGACAGGAACATGTGGGAAAGTTTCGTACTTCATAGAGACTTGTTGAATGGCTTTGACCAAAATGCTGATAGTGATATGGACAATAAGGTCCAGGCTGAGGTGGTCTCAGAAGGAGATGAGGAACTTTTTGGGAACTGGAGTAAAGGTCACTTTTGCTGTGTAAAGTGGTGGCATTTTGCCCCTGCCCTAGAGATCTGTGGAACTTTGAACTTGAGAGAGATGATTTAGGATACCTGGTGGAATAAATTTCTAAGCAGCAAAGTGTTCAAGAGGAAGCAAAGCATAAAAGTTTGGAAAATTTGCAGCCGGATAATGTGATAGAAAAGAAAACTCCATTTTCTGGGGAGAAATTCAAGCTCACTGAATAAATTTGCATAAGTAATGAGGAGCCAAATGTTAATTACCAAGACAAGGAAAATGTCTGCAAGGCATGTCAGAGACCTTCACAGTGGACCCTCCCATTGCGGGCCTGCAGGCCTAGGAGAGAAAAATGGTTTCCTGAGCTGGCCCCAGGGACTTCCTGCTCTATGCAGCCTCAGGACATGATGCCCTGCATCCTAGCTGCTTCAGCTCCAGCTGTAGCTGGAGCTCAGGCCATTGCCTCAGAGGATACAAGCCCCTTGGTGGATTACATATGGTGTTGGGCCTGCGGGTGCACAGGAGACAAGAATTGAGGTTTGAGAACCTCCACCTAGATTTCAAAGGATGTATGGAAACACCTAGATGTCCATGCAGAAGTTTGCTGCAGGGGAGAAGCCCTCATGGAGAACCTCTGCTAGAGCAGTGTGAAAGGAAAATGTGATTTTGGAGCCCTGACACAGAGTCCCCACTGGGACACCACCTAGTGAAACTGTGAGAAGAAGGCCACCATCCTTCAGACCCCAGAATGATAGATCCACTGAAAGCTTACACTCTGCACCTGGAAAAGCTGAAGACACTCAACATCTGCCCGTGAAAGCAGCCTAGAGGGGGGCTATTCCCTGCAAAGCCACAGGGGTGGAGATGCTCAAGGCCATGGGAGCCTACCTCTTGCATCAATGTGACCTGGATGTGAGACATGGAGACAAAGAAGATCATTTTGGAACTTTAAGGTTTAATGACTGCTCTATTGGATTTTGGAATTTCATGGCTCCTGTAGTGCCTTCATTTTGACCAATTTCTCTCATTTGGAATGGGGGTATTTACCCAATGCCTGTACCCCATTGTATTTAGGAAGTAACTAACTTGCTTATGATTTTACAGGCTCATAGGTGGAAGGGAATTGCCTTGTTTCAGATGTGACCTTGGATTTGGACCTTTGGGTTAATGCTGGAATGAGATAAGACTTTGAAGGACTGTTGGGAAGCCATGATTGTGTTTTGAAATGTGAGGACATGATATTTGGGAGGGGCAAGGGTGGAATAATATAGTTTGGCTGTGTCTCCACCCAAATCTCATCTTGAATTATAGTTTCCATAATCCCCATGTGTCATTAGAGGGACCTTGTGGCAGGTAATTGAATCAAGGAGGCAGTTAACCCCATGATGCTGTTCTCATAATAGTGAGTGAGTTCTTGTGAGATCTGATGGTTTTATAAGGGGCTTTTCCCCCTTTTGCTCAGCACTTTCCTTCCCTGCTGCCACGTGAAGAAGGATGTGTTTGCTTCCCCTTCTGCCATGATTGTAAGCTTCCTGAGGCCTCCCAGCCATGCTGAACTGTGGGGCAATTAAACCTCATTCCTTTTTAAATTACCTAGTCTCTGGTATGGTTTTATTAACAGCATGAGAATGGACCAATACAGGTCAAGTGCTATTTCTGGAGCTATTCTGTGTGGACAGAGGAATGGTGTCACCAGGTGTTAATAGAAAAACATAGACTTTTATGCTGAAGAAATAGCCCCAAACCACTTTTCTCAGAATAATTGGCTTGTATAATAACATTGCCATGCCCATTTCTCCCCTCAAATCTCAAACACCATTCCTATCATATGTGATTTGAATTTTGAGGTGTTGATGTAATGTTCTGATAAATATCAATAAGTCTGAAATAATCATAGAATATTTTATTCACATAAGGCAGGAAAGATAATATTAAATTTCCTTCAACCAACAGCATAAACCAATCACTTTCTTTCCATCTCTCTAACTCCTATATTTTCCATTGTGTTAGGTAGAGAAAGTTTATAGAGTTGGAAACTCTGACTATATTTCACTTATTGTGTTATTAGCTCCAGTACTGTTGCCATGCCATTCACTCTAGGCTGCAGTTTTCTAACAGAGCTAATATAAATTGTCATTAAAAGCCTTTGTAAAAACAAAATATATATGTTTGATATTCCTAATTTTGGGTTAATAGGTTATTCATAATATTTAAGAATATATGATTTTAAGAGTTTCACTAATTTTTAATAGCTCCATTAACTAATTACATATATATTTTTTATTATTATTATTTAAGTTCTGGGGTACATGTGCAGAACTTGCAGTTTTGTTACATAGGTATACACATGCCACGGTGGTTTGCTGCACCCATCAACCCATCACCTACATTAGGTATTTTTCCTAATGTTATCTCTCCCCTAGCCATCCACCCCCCAACAGGCCCCAGTGTGTGATGTCCATGAGCTCCTTATGTCCACGAGCTCTCACTGTTCAATTCCCACTTATGAGTGAGAACGTGTGTTTGGAAGACATTTATGCAGCCAACAGACATATGAAAAAATGCTCATCATCACTGGTCATTAGACAAATGCAAATCAAAACCACAATGAGGTATCATTTCACGCCAGTTAGAATGGCGATCATTAAAAGTCAGTAAAGAACACATGCTGGAGAGGATGTTGAGAAATAGGGATGCTTCTACACTGCTGGTGGGAGTGTAAATTAGTTCATCCATTGTGGAAGACAGTATGGCAATTCCTCAAAGATCTAGAACTAGAATTACCATTTGACCCAGCAATCCCATTGCTGGGTATATACCCAAAGGATTATAAATCATTCTACTGTAAATACACATGTACACACATGTTTATTGTGGCACTATTCACAATAGCAAAGACTTGGAACCAACCCAAATATTCCTCAATAATAGACTGGATAAAGAAAATGTAGCATATATATATTTAAGACAGGGTCTCATTCTACCACCCACGCTGGAGTACAGCAGCAAGATCATAGCAACTTCACAACTTCAAACTCTCTGGCTCAATCAATCCTCTTGCCTCAGCTTCCCAAGTAGCTGGGGCTACAGTTTCATGACACCACACCCTCTTAATCGATTTTTTGATTTTTTGTAGACCAGGTCCCACTGCGTTGCCCAGGCTTATCTCAAACTCCTGAGCTCAAGCGATCCTCCTGCCTTGGCCTCCCAAAGTTCTGGGATTATAGGCATGAGCTACTGCACCTGGCCTCCTCAGCTAATGACAATTATGATTAGTATGTTAATCACAATTTGAGTGCTTTTAAGAATTTCATAAACTAAAGACTTCCTCTTAGAACAAGAAATTTGCAATGAATTGAAAAGCCCATGTAATGACAAATGTCATGCAGCTTCCTAATAAGCTTACCATTTACCCAAGGGTGTGGAACAACCTGGAGGAGCTAATTTGGCAGGAAAATTTCTTCATCCATATGATTCCACATGACCTTTAATCTAGCCCCTGGAGAAAGTTGGAAATGAAAAATAAATTTATGGAGAAGTGGAATGAGCTATCTTAGCTGAATGTTTGATTTCATGTATCACTGTTTGAAAGCCGAGAATTCCATCACTTGTGTGGGTGAAGGCATTCATCTCACATTTTATTAGGGACCTATGCTTTCTGTATGTTCAACTCTCACATACAAAAAGAGAATAGTTACATACTTTAGTGGAATGATTTGGCAAGCAGGTGCCTGAAATTTGGATTTAGATATTCTGTGGTTTGAATTCTGGTCATGATATTTACTAGTTGTAGTACCTTAGGAAATTCACTTAATTTCCCTGAATCTAATTTTGCTCATCTGTAAATTAGGATAATAATCCCTATGTCATAGAAGAATCAAAAGTGTTAAGGGGCACAATGCATGTGAAATACTGACTACATCATCTGGCATCTAGCAGGTACTCAGATATTTGTTGTGTCTAGAAGGGTAGTACAATGAGAATGAGGAAGAAGAAAACAGCAAGAGAAGGTTAAAAGAGAAGGATTAGTTTTATTTTCATAAATATATTTGTAACAATAAAGAAAATCTGACCTCCGTGAAAACTCAACAAAGATGGAAAACTCATCTGTTGCCCAATAATACATTAATCACTTGATTATTCAAACATTTTTTATATTTACCAAGTACTTGGCAATGGGAAGTCACTGTGGCAGTTGCAAAGCTATATGAAACATGTGCTGAGGCCATTAATGACTTTCTATTCAAATAGTAGAGAGGAGACATTGTTAGAGTAACTATTAGTCAAAAGAGCTTACCACAAGAAATCCAATCAGATGAAACCCAGGATTCTATGATCAAGTTAGTTTAGAAACAAATACACAGCACACCCTTCATCTACCCTTGCAAATTCAAAATTTGAAAATCCTCTAGTATTCTGAGGATTCTGTGTAACCAATATCCATTTTATGGTTAGGAAATAAATGTATGTTGTTTTATGGGCTATCCCCCACCCCCACTCCCTGCAACTAACTGCTATTGACAACTTGTGAGAATATTGTGGCATGGAAATGTTTTGTAAAATGTTTCTATAAATATAGGTAGAAAGTAATAAGCATAGGAAGAGGTCCCTAAAATGGAGTACCATACTCATTAGGTGAGGACAGGAAAGAAATTACATCTCTCTAGGAGAAGAGACTGGGGGCGAGGATTACGAAGAGAGCTTTCTTAGAGGGAGACTTGAAGCTTGGGTAAGGACTGCAGGAGAAAAATTGGCTGGAGAAATGTCTAAATTTAAAGGAGAGATGAGATTTAGAAGATCTATGATGTCCAAGATATTGATCTCTCATACATAGACAGGAATATGATTTATTTTGTGTGGCTCTCCAGCAGCAGCAAGGTGACAGATTTTTTAATAAATGTGAGGACGTTATGAGAAACAGAACAGTACATGGAATTGGTAGTAAGTTTCCTGCCCCTCTGTGTGTTCCAGAGGAAGTCAGACAATGGGATAAACACAAGTTTAGATAAACACATGTGCTAAATAATTGGTGGGATGAATAGATCCCTAATGATAATCAACTCAAAGTCTGTCTTAATTCTGTGAGTTAAAAGTTTATTCAGCCAGCTCTGACTTGCTGAAGATTTTGAACAGAAAAAAAAAATGATCTGAACTGTGTTTGCAAAGATTAATCTTGTAGTTCTATATAGGATGTTTTAGAAAAAGAAAGGTAGCAGGGAGATAACTTACAAAGAATCATGTACAAGCACTCTTATCATCCCCTCTCTTCCACCAACAAAGATGCCATTCAAATTCCTCCTCTTGCCTTCCCAAGGAACAGCAGGCTTTCATCACAGAACTGGGATGAAGGATACGCTTGAGTTCATTTACCTGGACTTCAGAGGAATCCCATCTGGAACTTACCATGCAGTCTGCTAGTGAAGAGGTGAGTATTAATATAGGATTTGTGGCTGATATAACTTTTCACTGTCACAAATTATTGATATAATAAAAAAACACTGATAAAGTTTATTAAAACACTTAAAGGACATTTCTCATTTTGCATAATATTTTGTAATAAAATCATCTATGTAAATATGGAAAATGTGTAGGGAAGTGAGAAGAACATTAACCACACAAAGTGTACCCCTGAGTCTCTATGAGATTTCATTTCCTTTTGTAAAATAAAATGATAACTACATATTTCTTCATAATTACAGTTATCTTATATTGAGTGCCTACTAAGTACTAGGCATTATGCATGATACCTAGTATTTATTATTTCATTCAAACTTCAAAATGGCAATGAGGCTTAAGGTTCACAGGAGGTTAAGCTAAAATTTGGATGTACTACAGTTAAACTTTCTTGACATAGCCTTGAGGGAATTATAAAACAATTGCAAAGTAGGACTCAGGATGCCATTTTATTAATAGTTACACAAAAGATAAAGAACTAATTTTGGGGTCCTTAGTAAAAAACTAATTTGGGGCTCTTTAATAAGCAGATTAGGAAACTGCTTAGGTGCAAAACCTATGGAGGGACTTTTCTTTTCTCTTCTACAATGCTTTCCTGAGCTCATATAGACATGCCCACCAAGAGGCAATATTATTTTCCAACTTTAACCTGTGATCCAACATGGTACAAGCCAGAGTGAGATTTGTTTACCAACTACAGTATGCTGGTGTGGTAAACATAAGTTTCTTATTATGGTATCTAGCTTCAGAAATTTTCAGCCAAAATTCCCCACTGTGAGCTGTTCAAAGAAGAGTTTCTCTGAGCTCTTAGTTGGGAGAAGGAAGGAATTTCCCATTTTCCTTCAAATTAAACTATTAAATAAAGAACAAATCATACTTGTAACCTTATGGCTATTAACTTTAAAACATAAAAAATGAAACCAAAAGTAATTGTCTTATTTCCTACTTGAAAACCCCTATTCAACTTTTACTATGGACCAGGAATTGCAGTAGGGTGTGGCATCCATATAAATCAGGAAAATCATGGTATTATGTTCTTGAAGAACACCCAAAAAAGGAAAACTATCATATGGTTAAAATTCAGCTGCAGTCTAATTAACATTTTCCTTTTACACATCAAAAAAGGGAGGATCAAAGAAGACTATTGACTTGTCAAAATCACATGAGAACGTAGTGGGAGGACTAAAATTAAAGCCCTAATTGACTGATACCTGGGCCAGTGTTCTTGGAATGCCAAATTTTAAAGCACATATTAACTTATCTCCCCTCATGATGTTCATATTCCTAGTGAATCCCTTGATCCCCCTTTCTTCCTTATCTGAGTCCTTAGAGTTTCCTGCAGATATATTTGCTTGATGACTGTGTTTACCCCTACCTCTACCTGATTAGATTCATTTTGCAGATAATGATGCCTAGTTTTTGTGTGTGTCAAAAGTGAGAAGAACATACATTAGATAATAATTGATTACCTTACATTTGTCTCCCTTAATTATGCAGTCTTTGAAACTTACCAGTTCTCTGGGTTTACAAATTATTTCTACATCTATTGCTGCTTCATTAGACCTTGTTTCAGAAAAAACTCACTGTACACATTTCCATTTCTGACTCAGCTACCTGTCCTCATATTGATGCATATTTATATCTGTCCCTGAGAATGTCTGCCACATGCACACTCAGTAACCTTACCATGATCATCTGCTCTTTCTTTCAGTTTACCTGAGTCTATTGTTCAGTACTGTTCACTAGTAAAGGATACAATAGAGACATGTGTCAAGATGTAAACTGTTTCATTTTTTCCAAGATACTTCAGGATGATATTTTCTCTTTACTTTCTACTCATTTGCTTCATGTCTCACCTATCAGGCTGCAAATGCAATACAATCACTTGAGCCCTTCCTTTTGGTCTTCATTCAACATATACCTATTATCAGTAAATATAATATGTAGGATGGACAGAGATAAAAAACATGTTTCCTGCATTCAAGTCTTAAGGCAAAGACAGACAAGTAAATCAACAATAACTCTTCAATGTGATATATGGTATGATGGAATTAAAGACAGAATGTTATAGTGAAACAGAAGAGTATTAACAGATCCTTCAATCTGTCTGGGTGTGGGAAAACGAAAGCCTTCACAAAGTAACAGATGTTTTAGCTGAGTGTTGAGTATTGATGGAAAAGTGATGATTAGGGAATGTTATGCCATTTTTCAGCTTGGGGAATTGAAGAGTAAATAAAACAGTGTCATTCTCAAAAGCACAGTGTCAAGATTATAAGAGATAGATTACAGAGAAGATACACAACTCACTCAAAGAAAGTTGGATATATTTTGTGGAATTTTTAAGCAACAAAATTCCACTTTGTGTTTCATTTCAATTACTTTTCTTCTAAGATTATTGGAGAAGAATAACATTTTGTAATATTTTAAGTATTGTATTTGATACAAAAACTTAGAAAACATTAGAGAAGTCAGTACAATGTCTTTAACTGGCTTTCGTTTTGCAGATAAAAAGCATTATTAGAGATATTTGAGAAAGTCACTTGTTATAGTGATGAAAGGTGTATTTAATGGAGTTATTCTGGCAGATATTAGGATAAAATTTTATAACAGAAACAATTTGGAAGAAGTGATAATCATTTGAAGGTGAGAAAAACCAAGACTAACATAATTTCAACAAAATTAAAGGCCAGAGCCTAAATCAGAGAGTCAATTTAAATAGCAGATCAGA
Source organism: Homo sapiens (assembly GCF_000001405.40). Classification (NCBI taxonomy): domain Eukaryota; kingdom Metazoa; phylum Chordata; class Mammalia; order Primates; family Hominidae; genus Homo; species Homo sapiens. Next base: position 83,733,052 of record NC_000002.12, on the reverse strand, counting down.
GCAGCAATTAAATAAAATAAATTAATGATTCAGAGGTTTTAAATATGAGTGAAGTTATAAAATGCTGGTATTATTCCCTTGTGCTTAATAATGTTTTGTTTGTGAATTGGAACTTCTAGGTATGATGTGAACAAAATACATCTTCTCAGGGGCCTCACCTACCAAATTGAAAAATAAAATTTATACATGGGAAAGGGGTGTCCTGAAACTGTGCTGGGAATTAGGGAAAGGTACCTTACGCTTATAACATATTTAAAACATTTCTTAATAAATATAATGTTAATCAGATGCTATTGAAAGAAGATGCCAAGTGTTGACATGGACACAGAACATAAGATTACGGGGAACTGAAGGTAGAGATGCCACTTTGGTACATTATTTAAAAGTGAAAGAGAAGAAATGAAGACATAGGCAGGAAATAGTGAAGTCAGATCACAGTACTTGAAGGCATCTACATGAAAACAGCTTAGCAGCATTAGAAAGCGGTGGCAAGAGAAGAACCCAGGCTTCTCATGGTGTGTGAAAGTAATGATTAGTCAACGTGCCTAGAAATAGTCACTGAACAGGTGGAGGTTGGTTGGGCCAGTAGCAGTGGGAGTTTCATGACACTGCCAACATGTGTACCTGATGTGATACAGAGGCCAAATTAAAAGTTGGATACAGTGATTTGGCATCTGGTGCAGTTTCTTCTTCTTTTTAAAACCAAAGACAGAAAAAGAAAAACCTATAAAGGAAAGAGTCTTATTTCTGGTGTTGTCAAAGACTTGGCTCTTTCTTAACTTCTCTTAGGCTACTAGGTTACTGTGAACTGCTTATTTAAATTTCTATCAGCCAGCCCACTATTTGAGCTGTAAGAACACTGTGGAAACAGTGTTTCCAAATGAAACACTGGTTTGAAAACCAAATGGAAAGGGAGGACATCCCAAGAGCATGAAGCCACCTTATTTTCTGAAGAAAGGTTTATGCCAATTAAGGATAATTTGAGAGAGTTAAGAGAGAGTAGAAAGGCAGGAGAGCAAGAGATGAAGGGAAGAAGTATACCAGAAAACACACACACACACACACACACACACACACACACACACACACGAAAACAAATCTGCATTTCTGCACAGAAAAGAGTTCTAAAAATGAATTAAAACGATTATCTATTTTTAAAAAATTCTCTAGAAGAAAGAGTGTAACTAGAATCATCTTCTGTGTATATTCAGAATGATTTAAAAATAAATTTGGAGTCTGTGATATAAGAAACAAGAGGTAACATGGTAGTCAAGAATCTTTGGCTGCAATTTATTGTAATTCATCACAAAACAGCTTGAGCCAAATAGAAAATGTATTGGCTAGTCCTACTTTGAAGTCTAGAGAAAACTAACTGCAGTCATAGCTAAGCCTAAAAGCTCAAATTATGCCCTAGAGATAGAGTACCTTTCTTCATCTCTTCTTCTCTATGTTTGCTTTGCTGTCTTCATTCTTTTATCCAGATATTCCCCCAAATGATGCTCCTCTGCAACCACAGTTAAAAAGTATTTTCCTAATTATTCCAGTAAACAGTCCTTGCCTGGGGTCCTATATTTCTATTTGGGTCACCTACACGTAATACACAGGATGGATAGTCAGGTCTTTATCACATCTAGCTCTGGTTGTGGGGTTAGGATCATCCCCAACCAAAATACAAGAAATGAAAGTGAAGCAATGGTTCATTCCACAGTTGAAAATTGGTGCACTTTTATAGAAGGCAAAAAGCATACCTGGTAGAAGATAACAAGGGTCTACTGTATTCCATGCCTTGGTAGCTCAGAGATAATATGTCCTTGTATCCATAAGACACATTAAAAATAAACCCATTTAATGCGATAAAAGTACTTCACCTACCACTAAAAATGTACCTACCTTATATTCTCAAGGAGATAACAATAATTCTGCGCAGATATAAGTCCAAAATCTTTGAGTTAATGTGCCTCGTTCATTTTCCTATGTCTAGAACAGATGGGAAACAAAAAATAACCATAATTAAAAAGGAAAAAAATCATCTAGAAAAGAGGTGAAGAGTTGATTAGTTTAACAATCTATGACATCTACGATATTCTCAAAAAGCTATAATAAGGATTCTCTGCTTGGTGGTGAAGCAAAACCTATTATAAGGATCCAAGTCAGCTTTCAGTGGGGAATCTCCAAATCTGCTGTTCTCCCTGATCACATGTGACATAGGCAATGGGAGGAATTGTTCTTTAAAAGACTGAAATATTTGGTAGTCCACTTTTTGTTGGTGTCAGTTTGGCAGCTTGGGGATTGAGAAATCAATAGCTGCTTTGAGCCAAGCTTGGACTTCTCTCAAACTGCAATTACCTTAATTGCCAGATATTTTGTAATGATAATTAAGACTGCGATCTGGCTTCTGTTATCATAGAAATCTCTCATTCATTGCCATTAACACGCCAATTTCTATAACTGCATCTTCTAATGTCAGCCCTGGCTTACGGAGCACAGCTACTACTAAGCTTCTTAGTGATGCTGGTGCCACTCAGCATCGCATTCCTGCCACCTTGTTAGATGCAGTGTCCTCTATGTCTTCTTGAGCTGGTGCATTTTCTGGACATGTGTTGTGTTGCAACACAGGCATGCCAATGCTCTGAGTCTCTTAATCTTCTCCTTTCTCTCTCACAGCAATCCTGCAATACTTCATTGAAAGTGGGCTTTCAAGACCTGTATTAGCAGCACATTAGTGCCAATCCTCAGAAGCTTATCTGGATGCTAAATTTATGTCCTGAGATAATGTTCCCATATCAACAATCTCCCATTTAACCAACTTTATGTTTCACTCCTGGTTTACCACTTTCTAGACCCAGTCCCATACATTCTTTCCTGGCCCCCACCAGAACATACTAACTAGGTCTTGCAGCACCTTCAGGATACAGTCTCTTTTCTCCCTTAACAGGCCCAGAACTTCTCCATCTGAGTCTTGGAACATAACTCCCACATTATAAGTCCGGAAGCTAGAAGAAGAAGTAGGGTTTTATCTAGAGCAGTATGTAATGCTTTTTGTTTTCAAGCAAAAGTGACATTAGTTTTTGACAGGGAAAAGTGAGACATAAGGGAAGTACCCCAGAGAGTTCTGATGAATCTCATGGTCTTGAGTGCATCAACCCAGATATCCCCATCCCTGGTCTCAGAGTTCTACTCCTAACCAAAAATGGTCCTGACCTTGGCATAACCGACTTGGCAGGTTAAATAATTCAATCTTCAGTGGCGTTCTAATGCCCTTATAATTCCGTTCAAGGACGCGGGTTTTTTCTGACTTACGTTGTCAGAAAATGGGGTTCTTTGTGTGCTGCTTAAGAGTCCTTCTGGCCTCCACACCTAGCCTTATCTGTGATAAATCACCATTTCAACTTTTTATTGTTTTTCTTCAATTCACGCTTTGCATGCTGCAGCTGCAATAGACTACTTCCCCTGAACCTTCCAATCACCTGTGAAATTACACCAACTCCCACTAGCCATAGATGACTTATGGTGAACTTACCATTAGTGATAAGGTTTTCCGTGTCCACTGAACAGCTGGTGATCCAGCTCTAGAGTCCTCTTTTAGGTCTGTTTTCTCAGACCTCTTCTAACACCAACAGGCGGACTCAGTGATAAAGATTTGCATACAAGATCCCCATAAGGGAGTGGTCTTAGGAATACCTGTCGGCGAATGAAGGAAAAAGTATTGGACAGAGAGAAAACTATGCCCAAATTGAAACGTGGTGCACTTGCAATAGCTTACTTCCTAGAGATTGCCAAAGCTTAGAGATAGCCTGAATTTAGGCAAGGGTGGGGCATGCATTTATGGCCGAGCATAGATAAGGGCATCCGCAAAGATAGAGTATGTATTTTTAAAAGGCAGGATTCTTTGGTCATGGAAAATTCTTGGAGAGGGACTCAGCTTTGAGCTGCCTACAGGCAATGCTTCAGGCAACTGGGATATTAGTGTCTGGGTCCTGATCATGTGTCTGGGTGGCACACCAGAGTACCCAATTTAAGCATTCATCAAAGAATCACCTTCGCCAAAGTCCCCAGCTCAGAGTTTTGTTTTGTTTACCTCCCAGGGTAATTTGACCTACTATTAATTAAAGGTTTGGCTTTATTTCCTCTGTCATCTTTCTTTTTATCTTTTCCTTTCCTTTTCTTTCTTTTCTTTTTATTCCTTGTAATATCTTCATTGTGTTCTTTTATCAGCTCTCTTCTTTTTATTTTCTTTTTTTCCTTAAAGTATCTTCATTTTTGTTCTTTCATCAGCTTTCTTTCTTTCTCTTTTGTGTGTGTGTGTGTATGTGTGTGTGTGTGTGTGTGTTTTCTTACTGCTGGTTTCTCTCTCATATCAAGATATCCTTTATGGGCTATTTTCTTTAAGAAGGAATAAATAAGTTGATTCCTTTGGAGAGCTAGTGTGAGTTTCCTCTGCCCGTGTTTAAGATCTGTTTCACCATGAGCTTTTCTTCGCACATGAAGAATTACAATAATACAGTAATAGCTGGAGGCTTTAACACCCTGCTTTCAGCACTGGAGAGTTCTTCCAGACATAAAATAAATAAAGAAAAATCAGACTTAACCCACACTTTAGGCCAAATGAATCTGATAGATATTTACAGAACATTTCATCCAAGAGCTGTGGAATATACATTCTTTTCCTCAGCACATGGATTATTCTCAAGGATAGACCATATGTTAGGTCACAAAACAAGTATTAAAACATTCAAAAAATTGAAATAATATCAAGCACCTTTTCTGACCACAATGGAATAAAACTAGAATTTTGGAAGCTATACAAATACAAGAAAATTGAACAATATGCTCATAAATGACCAGTGGTCACTGAAGAAATTTAGAAGGTAATTGAAAAATTTCTTGAAAAAAATGATAATGGAAACACAACATACCAAAACCTATGGAATACAGCACAAGTAGTACTCAGAGGAAAGTTTATAGCTACAAGTGCCTACATAAAAAAAGAGGAAAAAATTCAAATGAGCAATCTAATAATACATCTTAAAGAACTAGAAAAGCAAGACCAAACCAAACCTAAAATTAGAAGAAAAGAAATAATAAAGATCTGAGCATAAATAAATGGAATTGAAATGGAAAAAATACAAAGACCAATGAAACAAAAAATGATGTTTTGAGAAGTTAATCAAAATTAACAAACCTTTAGCCAGACTAAGAAAAAAAGAGATAAGATACAAATAAAGTCAGAAATAAAAAAGGAAACATCACAACTAATCCTGCAGAAATACAAAGGATCATTAGTGAGTACTATGAGCAACTATATGCCAATAAATTGGAAAATATGGAAGAAATGAGTAAATTCCTAGATACATAAAACCTACCAAAATTGAACCAAAAAGAAATCCAAAACCTGAACAGAACAATAAAAATTAACGATATTGAAGTTGTAATAAAACGTCTCCCAGTAAAGAAAAGTCTGGGACCTTATGGCTTCACTGCTGAGTTCTGCCAAACATTGAAAGAAGAGCTATTACCAAACTACTCAAATTATTCCAAAAAATAGAAGAGGAAGAAATACTTCCAAACTAATTCTATGGGAGCATTATTACCCTGATACCAAAACCAGACAAAGCACATGAAAAAAAGAAAACCACAGGCCAATATCTCTGATGAATATTAATGCAAAATTCCTCAAGCAAAATACTAGCAAATCAAATTCAACACTACATTAGAAAGATCACTTATCGTGACCAAGTGGGATTTATCCCAGGGATGCAAGGATGGTTCAACACATGCATATCAATCAATGTGATACATCATATCAACAAAATGAAAGATAAAAACATATTATTTTAATTGGTGCTGAACAAGCATTTGATACAACATCCCTTCATGATAAAAATCCTCAGAAAACTGGGGTAGAAAGAACATTTCTCAACATAATAAAAGTCATATATAACAGACCCACAGCTAGTAACATACTAAATGGGGCATGACAGACCCAGAATAGCCAAAGCTATGCTAAGCAAAAATAACAAAACTGGAGGATCACATTACCTGTCTTCAAATTACACTACAGAGATATAGTAATAAGAACAGCATAGTAATGGCATAAAATCAGACATATAGACCAATGGAACAGAATAGAGAACCCAGAAACAAATCCACACACCTACAGTGAACTCATTTTTGACAAAGATGCCCAGAACACACACTGGGGAAAAAGACGGTCTCTTCAATAAATGGTGCTGGGAAAGCTGGATTTCCACATGCAGAAGAATGAAACTAGACTCCTATCTCTTGCCATATACAAAATCAAATCAAAATGGATTAAAAGCCTAAATCTAAGACCTCAACTTCTGAAAATACTACAAGGAAACATTAGGGGAAAATCCCCAGAATACTGGTCTGGGCAAAAATTTCTTGAGCAACAACCCATAAGACAGGCTTCCAGAACAAAAATGGACAAATGGGATCGCGTGAAGTTAAAAAGTTTCTGCACAGCAAAGGATACAATCAACAAAGTGAAGAGACAACCCACAGAATGGGATAAAATATTTGCAAACTACCCATCTGACAAGGGATTAATAACAAGAATATATGAGGAGCTCAAGCAATTCTATAGGAAAAAAATTAATCCAATCAATAAATGGGCAAAAGATTTGAATAGACATTTCTCAAAATAATATATACAAATATCCAACAGGCATATGAAAAGATGCTCAACTTCATTGATCATAAGAGAAACGTAAATCAAAACTACAAAAAGATATCTCACCCCAGCAAAATGACTTATATCTGAAAGACAGGCAATAACATGCTGGCAAGGATGTGGAGCAAAGGAAATCCTTGTACACTGTTGATGGGAATGTAAATTAGTACAACCACTATTGAGAACAGTTTGGAGGTTCCTTCAAAAACTAAAAATAGAGCTACCATATGATCCAGCAATGCCATTTCTGGATATGTAGCAAAAAGTGAGGAAATAGGTATATTGAAGAGATATCTGCACTTCTATGCTTGTTGCAGCACTGCTTACAATAGCTAAGATTTGAAAGCAATCTATGTGTTCCTCAACAGACAAATGCATAAAAAAGTGATACATATACACAATGAAGTACTATTCAGGCATAAATTGAATGAGATTTAGTCATCTGCAGCATCATGTATAGAACTAGAGATCATTATGTTAAGTGAAATAAGTCAGGCACAGAAAGATAAACATCACATGTTCTCACTCATTTGTGGGATCTAAAAATAAAAGCAATTGACCTCATGGACACACAGAGTAGAAGGATGCTTACCAGAGGCTGAGAATGGTAGTGGAAGGGTGGTGGTTGGGGGATGGTTAATAGGTACAAAAAATATTTAAAAAGAATGATAAGACCTACTATTTGATAGCACAACAGAGTGATTATAGTCAATAATAATTACATATATTAAAATCACTTAAAGAATGTAATTGGATTGTTTGTAACTGAAGGGATAAATGCATGAGGGGATGGATACCCCATTCTCCATGATGTGTTTATTTCACATTGCATGCCTGTATGAAAACATTTCATGTACCCCATACTATGTACACACATAAATTAAATATTAAAAAAGCAAATAATGATTTGATGATGGCAGTAATACTGATGATGAAAACAACATATTTGTTAAATGCCATCAGGTCATATAGTAATTATTTTATCACTCTTTTATATCTTGAATATATAGTTACATATTTTGTAGGTGAAAATTCTGAGGAACAGATGTGCTAAGTAATTTTTCTGAAGTCAGAGATCCAGAAAGTAAATACAAATCCTGATATGTTTGATTTTTACTTGATATTTCAAATTAAATGGTTCAGCCTCAAATATAACCACAGGTAATAGAGACAAAAGAAATATGTGTTATTTGTGCTTGGAAAATATATATATTTCAAAGTTTTCTGTGCTTGGAATTTGACATGTCTAATTTCCTACCCAGTTCATTTTAAGGAATTATATAATTAAGTTTGCACTTAACTGGTTCAAAGATCATCAAACAAGATAATACCAACATTGGTGATAGCATTCTGATTTCCTTCTATTTAGTTTAGTCTTTAGCAAAGCAGTGACAAAAAAATGTGCATGGATGAGTACATGGCTTCATGCATCAGTTCACTAAATATTATCCACTTTTTACTATAACTCAGCAGCCACAGATGCTAGCAATATACAGACTTATAAATTTATCATCCTTGCTATTGTGGGTCCCCAGTTATTTGAGAAATATCGTGTAAAAAAGTAATGATAGCACAATGTGACAAGGAGGAACAACATAACTTTACCTGATGAAATGAGGCTATGGTTATTAACAAGACGTTTAGAAGGATATGACATTGTTGAGCTGGATAGTAAAGGATAGACGTGTTCCAGGCATATCTGGTAAGTAAGAGATTGCAGAGATAGAAAACAATATGTAACAAAGGATGGTTACATGAAACAGCCTGGTGTTAATGAATCAAACATAATTGAAGCAACTCTGATGCCAATACACTTATAGAACATGTAAAGAGAGAGGAATATATTAGTTAGAATTCATTCTTTTTGCTATTATTTATTTTTTATTGAGATAAGATTCACATAACATAAACTTAATGATTTTAATCTTATTATTTTTATTTTTTAAGAATCCCAACTAAATTAACCATTTTAAATTGAACAAATCAGTGGCATTTAGTACATTCTCATTATTGTGCAACTACCATCCCTCTCTAGTTCTAAAATCCGTCCATCACTCCAAAAGAAAACCTTGTACCCAATAAGCAGTTATTCCCCATTCCACACTCTCCCTAGACCCTGATACCCACCAATCTGCTTTCTGTTTCTATGGAGTTACTTATTTTTGACATTTTTATATAAATGGAATAAAACAATATGTGATTTTTTGTGTGTTTCATTCTTTTTATTTAGCATAAAGTTTTAAAGGTTAATCCACATTTTAGTATATATTGGTACTTCATTTTATTATGGCTGAATAATATTCCATTGTGCACCTATACCACAATTTGTTTATCCATTGATGAACATCAATGTGTACACTGTATACAAGTGTGAGTTTTAGTACCAGTTTTCAATTCTTTTGGATATATAACTAGGAGTGAAACATCCAGGTCATTCTATGTTTTACTTTTGAGGAAGCACTAAACTGTTTTTCACAGTAGCTGCATCATTTACACTTTCAGTTAAGATTCATAGTGACCAAACAGAAAACTTTTTTAAAGTGTCTAAGAGAAATTAATTTTTTTCTCTCATAAAAAGTACAGATGTAAATTGGAGGTTACATGACATCTCTCTATTTTAGTAATCCTACCTTCTTCTACTTCAAAGATCAATGAACTGTTGTGCACAGCTGCCTGTATCTGTAAACTAAGTTTTATTGATCCATAGCTATTCCCATTCATTTACTTACTCTCTACAGCAGTTTAGACACAACATTGTAGCGCTGAGTGGTTGACATGAAGAAAATATGGCCTGCAAAGGCAAAAATACTTACCGTCTGGCCTTTTAGAAAAAATGTTTTTTAAATTCTACATTTATTTTTCTGACCTGTCATCCTTAGCTAGGGCTTTCTACTCATAGTCTTAGATGGCTATTTAAGCTCTAGTCATCATATTCTCAATCCAACCATCCACAAGAAGGAAGAGCAAAAGAAGGTCATATCTGTCTTTAAAAACACACTTTCCTGCAGAATCTCAATCACTTTCCATTCTCCCAAATTAGTTCCACACCCGTAACTAGCTGCAAAAGACTCAGGGAAATGTAGTCTTTATTTCAGGTGGCTAGAAAGTCATCTAAAAATTGGATTCAATAGCTCTAGCACAGAGACAGTATCCACCAGAGGAACTGGTGTACCCCCTAGATTTATCCAGTTTCCCTGAAAATTGTAGAATCTGGGCAGGCAGGTGGAAGGGAAGAGCTCTCCAAGACAAAGTAAAGAACCTAAGAACAAATGAAGGTCCTTGTTACCCATTCTGATCATCTCACAATTAGAAATACGTAGATGAGTAATAAATCTCTATCTTCCTTGATAAACTGAGTGATTTCTGAGTTCACTAGGCCTCATTTTCTGGTTAATTTAAAAGTCTGATTAAAACTTTATGTTTTGTAATTGAGATCAATGTAGCATCATCCCTAGTTCTAATTGGAGTTTCAAGGTTTTCCATACGGAGAGGGATTGAAATTCAGGGAAGATGTCAATGCTGAACTTTGTAGGATTGGGATAACCAATAGATGTTATTTTTTCTGAAAGGGAAAGGCTTTAAACATTTCTACATCAGCTTAGGGAGAAATATCCATAGAAGAAATAAGAATGAGCAAATGTGTGCAAAGCAGCATTAATTTTAACATATATTCCAAGGATATGAAGCTTGGAGACGTTAATGCCTTTGCCTAGAGTCACACTGAAAATATGTTGCAATCAGAAATGGTCTTTTCTCTCCAATTCCATCCTCCTTTCACCCTAGAAAACCACTTCTCATATTTTCACATACCCAAATTCTTCATATTTTTGAGAATTCAATGCAAGATCCATGATGATCACAAAAACCATATACAACTTGCTATCTATCTCACTCATGCAGCAGTATCTTACATAGTTATCTTATATAGTTATCTAAATATTTATTAAACACCTACTATATATAAGGCACAGTTTTAGGACCTGGGGATACAGTAAGCAGACAAAATTTCCTGCTGTCATGCAGTATGCAATCTACTGAGGAATGCTAAACAGGTATATAATAATTAATTAGATGTATATTGAATTCCCTAGAGATATATATAAAAAAAGAAAGCGAGCATGGAAGGAAGATAGGAATTTTTGTAGGTTGCATTTTTAAATTAAGGTAGCTAGTTGTAGACCCCACTGAGAAGGTCATATTTGAATAAATTTCTGAGGCAGTGAAGGAGTAAGCAATTTAGAGATCAAGAACAAGAGCATTTGTAGGCTGAGGGAGGATCCAGTGGAAATGTCCTGTGGTCTAAGTGTGTCTGGTATGTTCAAAGACCAGCAAGAAGACCCTTTGTGCTAGAGTGGGGGGAGCTAGATGGAGCACAGTGGGGAGAAGATGAAAGAAATGTTACAGGTGGGCAGGAGGTGGCAAACACATGTATGTGCCTTTATTGTCATTGTTGGGATTCTGTGTTTCTCTGTAAGTTGGGATGATATGTTGGAGAAAACAGCAGACCCAATTCTTGTTGTTGTCCTAAAGTGAAGCGAAGGAGATAGATGCTGATCAAGTAATCATATAAGTAAAAGTAAAAATAAATGCAAAACCAAACATAATAAATGCTAAGACCAGAGCTTGTTAAATGGATTAGACTTATTTTAAGAATCAACATTTGTGCTCAGATATAGAAGATAAGTAGATGTTAACTAGCTAAATAATGTAAGTTTAATAATACTGCCTTATTGAGTGCTGCCACACTAAGAAGCACCATTTTCAGCACTTGGCTTGGAAGAACTTGTTTAATCTTTAAAATAAAATTATAAAGATTGTATAATTATTGCTTATTACAGATGAGGAAACTGAAGTACACAGAGGACAAGTAAGTTGCTCATGTTTTCATACACACCAAATGAGAAAAATGGGACACAACAGCAAATCATGAAGTGGTTGCTGACCTTAGATGAAGAGAATGACAAAACTCTCGGTCCTCAGTCTATAAAATTTTCTCATCAGCCTTCTTCATCTACTCTAGCTTTCTAATTCTTACTCCTATTTCAATGCCTGGCTCAAATTTTCTCCTGTCTAAAAAATTTCCTTGCTTTTCCAGCCACAGTAGATCACAGTCCCAAAATCTGGTTGGAAGTATGATCATTCTATGATCTTTATTTAATGAGCAATTACACATTATTATGTAACATCTCTTATTATTTATAAGCATTTTAAATAAACTTTTTATGAAGTTTCTTTTTTTACTTTAATTTTGCAAATTGATTTTAAGTCATTATGGTGTAAGCTTAATGAAAATAATTGGGATAATTATTTATTTGTGTCCTATATAGTGTTGGGCATGAGGTACCGAAATAATATTCAACACTGAATAAAACAAAACAAAGAAATGAGTAAGAAGAAATCTCAGAAGTCTCTAGTAGCTGACATCTTTGTTTTACAGATAAGACTGGGGTTCAGAACAAAACCCTCATCTATTGACACCTAAGCCTAAAACAGTTCCTAATCCATTTAAAGTATTATTTATTTATACTGCTTTTTAGGACTCAAAGTGACATAGGGGCCAGCCACAGAGTAAGTAAGCAACTGAGTGCCCTAAAGAAGCATGAAACTCCAAAAGATTTTTGGATGCAAGAACAACCTGGGATCTAAGGCATAAGGTGATGGACTAATACAAACAGGGGAGGAATCATGCAAAATAATGCAAATGAGACATGTGAACAGGATCAGTTTTCTGCCACCACCAGGGTTCTCTATGGTGCCTGTGAAGCACCAGTTTTTTTATGGACTATAATCAACAATAACCAGAAAGTGTAAAATGTGCAGGACAGGAGGTTCGTTTCTACTCTTCTTGGTTTTAAAACTACTGGGAGCTTAAGTGCTGTAAGTCTTGTAGGAGAGGACCCTGGGTGTCTACCTCAGGTCTTAAATGTCTGACTTTCTAAGCAAATTTCTAGAAGTGAATTAAGACTGTTATCACTTGAGCAGGGAGAAAAGAAGAAAAATATGTTTTCTACTACTTGATGTACATATTTATTAAAAGGGGGAGGTTTCCTTCCTGCCATATCATGACTTCCGAGACCTTTCCTGAAAAGAAACAGTGAAAACCATCTTCCCCTCTACCTACTGTGTCCTGGAGGAGGTAAAGTGTCTTATCTGTATGAGTGTGGAAGAAGATATTAGGTGTGTATAAACAATTCATTTCTTTCTCCTTACTTTTGCAAGTGAACTGTCTGCAAGAAGTGTATATTCTGTTGCACCCATCATGATGTACAACTGCCATATGTGGAATCCTACCAGTCAAGTTGTGCTGTGTACAATTCTGCTATTTCTGAGGCTTAGTATTAAGATGTTATCATCCCAAATATAACACACTTCTGCTAATAACAGTTTGGTCAGTAGTAAAGGAATTATTTTTGCCTTCTGCCTTATGTGCTTTATTTCTTTGTCTTATAATTCTTGTCAATTTAAAGATTTTAATTTATCAGACATTGAGATGTATCTTGAAATTGATGACATGTAAAAGTTTTATTAGAGGTATTTTCTTTCTTAGCAATAAATAATAGTTGATAGTGTCTTCGATCTAATGAAATATAATATAATTATAATTAGTTTAGAAATAAAGTTGGAGTCAGGAAGTGCAAATTTTTGTCATCATCAGTGCAATGTCCTGGGGTTAATAAAAACATACAGCTTCTGTGATAGCAAGCATTCACTTGGAGCCTGGCCACACTTGGAAATGAGTTTCACAGTCCAGCCAAGATTGCCATGTTTTATATGAAATGATAATGAAGTGGCTTCACTTTTAAGACTGTATTCTTATTGCTTCCAAATGAACACTGCCTTGTGCCCACCACTCATTCCCAGGCTTTTAACTCATAAAAATGCTGTTTGTACAAAAGAGAGAAAAGGCCCAAGGGCTTCTAAATGATGTTGATAATAAGAGATGTCAATTATCTTCACAGCACTGAGTGAAATATATTATCTGTTTAATGATCTTTAATGATCTTTGCTTAATCATAACACAAAGAATCCAACCTGTAGATCCATAACATCTGGTAGTCTACAATTTTTTTCTTCTTCTTAAAGTAGAGCTCTCGTTTAATGAAATCTGTTCAAACAATGGGCTTTCATTTTCTGTGTATATTCCTGAAGTGCCTGGAAAAAAACAGAGAGACATACTTGCCAGGTAATCCCTTTCTAGGTTTTACTACATGCTTAGTAGAGACCAGCGAATGGGTCACATTCAAGGGGTGATAAGCAGAGTACCTGAAGTGGTGTCAGGTGTTCATGGACTTAGCACTGGCTCCTGTAGTAACTGACTCAAATATTTACTAAATCACATTTCCCCCTGAAATGTAGTCTTCTCCCCCACTGAAAGGCATCAGCTGGATTCGAATACTAAGATCCCTTCTTTTGCTCTGCTTCTTTAAACAGCTTTTTTTAAGTGCCCAAATCAGTATGCCAAACAGTGGAAGAGAATATGTGAGCAATTAGAAAAAAAAAAAACCTAGAAGAAAGACACTTGTGCATTTACAAGAAGTTTAAACTGTGGTTGTACCAAATATTTATATGTGTTATAAATCTAAAGTAATTGAAACAATATGAAATCAGAAAAAATTGGTGTATGATCCCCTAAAATTAACTGAATTATATTAAAAGATAATTATCCACTTGATATGAGAAAGTTTGAGTTATTCCATGTAGGTCTTGGACCGATTTGTTACCTATTTATAAACCAAAACAGATTTGTTACCTACTACTACTACTAGATAACAAATAATACAAATAGGTAACTGATTTGTTACCTATTCTTATAAATGAAAACCAATTTGTTATGTATTCTTATAAACCAAAATTTAGATCTTCACCTCTTAGAGCACAGTAACATAAATTTCAAATATCGTATGCAGTTAATGTCCAAAGTGAAAACATTCAAAGAAACTGAAATATGGTAAAAATATATCTGAAAGTAAAGTAAAAGAAATTAAAGATAATACATTCATAACTGTGCTAAGAATGAGAAGAGATGACATCAGTAGATTCGAGATTTAACAAGTTTTTGGAAAATAGAAAGTACATTGGATCACGATAAACAAATTGGAATGAGCCCCATAACCCATTCCAGATCCTGAAGGCTGCTATACATGTAAGAACTGACAAAGCCATGAGGAGCCATGTTCTGTGACTTAAGTTACAGAGTCACAAATTAAGACATAAGAACAAATAATGGCAATAAGTACAAGTAACAATTAAAGGAGTGCCTGTCTCAGAAGGTTGTCTCCAAACTGTGGTGGCTATTACAGTAAAGACACTCATTGTAGAAAATGAATAAACTGCCTGAGAAAATCAGGTCCCAAAATGAAGCTTTTTTTATTTTGTCTTTAGAATAGTGGGAGACGTGAAGAGGGCAAAACTATGTTTTTTACACTCACACAACCTAATGTGAAACCTGACAGTTGGTAGACTCAACCCATGAAGGACAAAGTTCATGGTTAAGTCTCCCATTCAGGCAAAAGATTTAGTAAAGAAAATAAGACTTCTCACATGATAAGAAAAGCTGTCTACTTCTTCTTTCATTTATATATATGGATAGACAAAACATTTTCCAGGTATCCCATTGTTAAACAGCATAATAAATCCCTTTTTCAGTAAATGTCAAAAACAGAACTCAACCAACAACAGAAAAAAAGAACAAATATTTTATTTTAGATAAGACTAGGAAATATAATGAATTACAAATTATGGAGATTGAAAGGTGAGAGAGAGTAGAACCTGACATAACAACTCTGAGAGAGGAAAAGAAAACAAAACTCTTCTGAAGGAAACAGGAATAAGTATTTCACTTCAAGCTATAAACATCTGCAAAGATTTAGCTAGAGAATATCAGGTGCTGCAAGCAGTGACATGAAGGGCAGAGTCGAATAACAAAAATTTAAATCTAAATTGTTACTCCCATACCCCATTTAGTAAGACTGATTGTGTTTTGCAACCTCATGGAGATTTAAATTCTTGAGAAGACTGGCCATCCATGGCTTGAGAAAAAGGAAAAACATGCACAGTTACAGGCTTGGATAAAGTTACAGACTGAAAGAATATTTTATTTCTATCTCTGGTGATGATAGATAACCTTGGTACAGTAAAATCTTCATGCAAATAATAAATAGAAAAAAAAATGGACCAAACGAAATCTGACTGAAGGAACTGAAAAGCTACAAGACACTTAGAACACATGGGGCTGAGAGCCGGGCGCAGTGGCTCACGCCTGTAATCCCAGCACTTTGGCAGGCCGAGGTGGGCGGATCACAAGGTCAGGAGATCGAAAGCATCCTGGCTAACACGGTGAAACCTCATCTCTACTAAAAGTACAAAAAATTAGCCGGGCGTGGTGGCGGGGGCCTGTAGTCCCAGCTACTCGGGAGGCTGAGGCAGGAGAATGGCGTGAACCCGGGAGGCGGAGCTTGCAGTGAGCCGAGATTGCGCCACTGTACTCTAGCCTGGGCGACAGAGCAAGACTCCGTCTCAAAAAAAAAAAAAAAAAAAAAAAATCAAACATATGGGGCTGAGATACCCTAAAAAGAGTTGCACAGAAATCTCACAAATTGTCACCAAAGAACTTACTCATGTAACGAAATACCACCTGTTCTCTAAAAACCTATGGAGATTAAAAAAAATTTAGAATTACATAAATAAATAAAAGTAACTTCTAGCTAGCAAAAAAAAAAAAAAAAAAAAAAAGAGAGAGAGAGAGAGATGCAAAGAAAAGTGAGCCTGATATTCAGCACTGTTCTTCCTCTTGAACATTGGCTGATACATACATTGGGATTGACAGACTGAGAGCAAGCTTTAGAGATCAGGATCCACCAAGAATCATCCTTGGTACATACGCCAGAATTTTAGGTGAAAGCCTCTGAAGAACAATGCTATAGTCGGATTGGGTCCCTCCATAATTCACATTGAAACCTAATCCTCACTGTGGGTATATTAAGAGGTAAGGCCTTTGGGTAAGTGATTAAGGCATGAAGGCTCTGCTGTCATTAATGTGATTAGCGAATTATAAAAGGGATAAAAAAGAATGTGCTAGATAGCAGAGATAGAATTATAAAAGAGATTGAAGACTATGTGTTTGCTTCTTCCACCATGTGAGGACTCAGAAACAGGGCACTACCTGTGAAGCCTTCACTAGAAACTGAATCTGTAGGTGCCTTGATGTTGGACTTCCCAGCCTACAGAACCATGAGCAATACATTCCATGAGCAATTGTTTATAAATTACCTAGTCTAAAGTAATTTGTCATAGCAACCTGAATGTACTAAGACAAATGACAAGTAAGGTGTAGAGCAAACATGACTTAAGGAACCCTAATAAAAACTAAAGCCCATCTACATATCAGGTCATGGAATGTATTCAGGCAATGTGACCCTATACTATCTGGATGACGGAAGTAGAAGTCAATTCATTTTTTAGCAGGGAAACATAATAAAGGACTTGAAATCAATTATTTGACTTACTTTAAATCTAATTAGTTATAAATTGTTAATATGCACTTTATAAGTGTATATTCTCATTGAGGATTCAATTACAACGCTATCTAAAATGGCACCCTTCCTCCAAAATTTTCCTTTAACTCTTTGCTATTTAGTCCTTATCTCTAACTCATTATGAAGTTTAGTTTTCATGTGGCTTTTCTGTCTCCCTCAATGCAATGTAAGCTGGCCATGTGCAGAATGTTTTGCTTATTGTATCCCAACATGTAGAACAGAGCATGGCCTAGAATTTGCACTCAAGAAATATTTGTTGAATAAAAGATATTCATTTTTAACTTACATAATACCCTCATGGTTACAGGACCTGAGGGAATTATGCTAGCAGTCTAACAGTGATTATTATATCTTCTTGATGGGGGATTGTAATCTTTTCCTTGAAATTTATTTTTCATATTTTGTACCATTACCATGTATTATTTTTGAAAGCACCTTTTAAACATGTGATTTCATTGAAAGCTACCAAATTAAAAAATACCAAGTTCTCTCCCTTTTACAGATTCAATGTTCAAACTCAGAAATATTTACCAAAAATATGTATAGTATTTTAGCACAATCATGCTGTGTATAATTATATCATCTCCTATGTTCCCCATGTTGGCATACCTATGAGTTATCCAGGTTAGGTTGGATGACTGTGGCCATTGAACAGAGCCAATTAGCCAGACTGTGAAAATTACTCCCTCCAGCCTCTTCCCACAGTCCAGGACTGAAAAAAAGAAAGATTTATTTCTATCTCTGGTGATGGTAGATAAGCTTGGTACAGTACAATCTTCATGCACATAATAAATATAAAAAATGGACCAAATATAATCTGATTAAGGAAACTGAAAAACTACCTAGGCACTTAGTCCAGGTCCCTATCATTACACAGTACCCCAAAAGACATGGAGATGGAAAGTATCACGATTGAGGAGACTCTGTTTTAGAGAATACCTAGTACACATGTTGCCAATGTATGTTGCCATCTAGGCTCATTTATTTTATTTTCTTCCACAAGGATAGGGCATATCGAAATATGTAATTTAATTACGAATACAACCTATTTTTTTTTTTTGAGATGGAGTTTTTGCTCTGTTGCCCAGGCTTGAGTGCAATGGTGCGATCTCAGCTCACTGCAGCTTCTGCCTCCTGGGTTCAAGCAATTCTCCTGCCTCAGCCTCCTGAGTATCTGGGACTACAGGCACCTGCCACCATGCCTGGCTAATTTTTGTATTTTTAGTAGAGATGAGGTTTCACCATGTTGGCCAGGCTGCTCTCGAACTCCTGACCTCAGGTGATCCACCCACCTTGGCCTCCCAAAGTGCTAGGATTACAGGCATGAGCCACTGCACCTGGCCGGCAACAACCAATAAAATGATCAATGATTAATCATATTAAGAATGTCCTACCAATAGGTGATGACTAGTGTAACTTCGCTGAGCAGTTATAATTATAGCATACAAAAGAACACATACTTTAGTGACTTGCATTGCTCAAAAAATTTCTATGAAATTTTCTGAAATACTAGATATATCTTCCAGACTAATATAAATATTTTAATGGGTACATTTACATGTGGGGCTTATCAACTGAAAAAATTATATAGAAGCTAAAATTTCTCAATTCATTTTATAGAATGCTAGCATTTAAGCTTCTGACCATTACCCACTTTACAGCACACCAAACCTGCAAACCATACCTGCACATCACATACTGACAAAGTCTGGAAGATGACTTAAGGACTAAAAGGAGATGACTTAAGGAGTAAAACCTTCTACAAAGCTATAGTAACTAAAACAGCATGGGAATGTTATAAAAACAGACACAAAGACCAATGGAACAGAATAGAGAACCTAGAAATAAATCCACATATTTATAGCCAAATAATTTTCAATAAAGGTGCCAAGAACATACGTTGTGGAAAGGACAGCCTCCTTAAATAATGGTACTGGGAAAACTGGATTTTCATATGCAGAAGAACAAAACTAGACCCCTATCTCTTACCATATAGAAAAATCATCTCCAAATGCATGAAAGATTTAAATGTAAGGCTCCAAACTATACCACTACTGGAAAAAAACATAGGGGAATAATTTAATAACATCGGTTTGAAAAAAAGTTCGTATAGGTCTGCCTTCAAAAGCAAAGGCAACCAAAACAAAAAAAGACAAATGAGACTATATCAAACTGTAAAACTCATGCACAGCTGAGGAAGTAACAGAGCAAAGAGACAATCTGTAGAGTGAGAATGTCTGGAAATCATTTATCCTCACAGGATTAATATCCAGAACATACAAAGAACTCAATACAACAGCAAAACAAGCAAACAAACAAATAATTCTATTAAAATGTATGCAAAGTATCTGAATAAACATTTTTCAAAAGAAGACATATGAATGGCCTAGAAGTACATGAAAAAATGCCCAACATCACTAACCATTAGGGAAATGCAAATAAAAACCACAATCATCTATCATCTCATCCTACTTAGAATAATTATCATCAAAAAAAAAAACAAAAAATAATATATGCTGTTGGGATGCAGAGAGAAGGAACCCTATACACTGTGAGAATGTAAATTAGTATAGCCTTTATGAAAAACAGTATTGAGTTTTCTCAAAAAACTACAAATAGAATTACTTTATGGGACCCAGCAATCTCACTACTGGGTATTTTCCCAAAGGAAAGGAAATTAGTATATTGAAGAGATATCTTCACACCCATGTTTAATGCAGCACTAGTCATGATAGCTAAGATATGGAAACAATCTAAATACTCATAGACAGATAAACAGATAAAGAAAATGGAATGGAAGACTATCAAGTCATGAAAAAGAACAAAATCTTGTCATTTGTGGCAACATACATGAGCCTGGAGGACATTATGTGAAATAAGTAAGGCACAAAACAATAAATACCACACATTCTCACTCATATGTAGGAGCTGAAAAAAGTTGATCTCATAGAAGGAGAGAGTATAATTGTGGTTGTGAGACACTGGGAAGGGAGCGGCGTGGGGAGGATAGATAGAGATTGGTTAACAGATACAAAATTATAGCTAGCTAGGATGAACAAGATCCAGTGTTCTATAATACTATGGATGACTGTAGGTAACAATAATTTATTGTATATTTCGAATAGCTAGCAGAAAAATTTTTTAATTTTCCCAATGCAAAGAAATGGTAATTGTTCAAGGTGATGGATATACTAATTACTCTGATTTTATCACTACACATTGTACATATGTATCAAAATATCACTCTGCATCCCATATATAAGTACAATTATTATTTGTGAACAAAAATAAAAAAGAGTCCACTAAAAAAGAAAATGCTTACACATCTTAGACTTAGTGTTCCTCCAAGAAAGTGGTTGGATCCCATCTCATTGCTCACTCTGCATTTAAGCTTGTCAGTCAGAAAGCCACTATCTAGCACCCAGTGTCTTTGCTTTAAAAAAAAAACTCTTAAATATACTTAAACAAATAAAGCAATAAAAAAGCAAGCAAGCAAGTAAAAGCAAGCAAGCAAGCAAGAAAGAGAAGACGGAATCAAAGGAGGGAGGTAGGAAAGAAAAAATAGGCATTTGAGACATTTAAAATCTTAATATCAGAAACTTTGAAAAACATAAATACTTCAGAGACTAGAAGAAAACTTTAACACATATTTTAATATGCTGAGGCATAAGTTATATTTCATTGTTGAAAAAGAATATGATGCTATTTAAAAGGGAGGATTTGTATAAAAGAACAAGCTGTTGAAAATCATAAAGAGAACTAACATACAAAAGTAAATATAATAGTGAGAAGAAAAAGTTGATGAAAAATTTCAGTAAGCAGCACAAAAAATGAAGAGATGAATTTTAAGTGAGGAAAAAAGTAAAAAAAAAAATAAAAGAGAGAAGGCAAATCAAATCAGGAGGTCCAACATATCAATAAACATTCCAATAAAAATCAGTAAAATAAAGGAAATAAATAATAAATAATAATCCTAAAATTTTCCAGAACTAAAGAACTTAAAGTCCAAGCTGGAAGGGCCCACAAAATGCCCACTGCAATGAGTGAAAGGGACTGACTAGCAATAAATACATCATTGAAATTATTTAGACCATCAAAGTAAAAAGATATTCCAAAAATATTCAAAGAAAGGCAAAAGATATGGGACATAAAAGAAGGGGAAATTGAACTTTTTAGTAGCAACAATGAAATGCAAAAGGCCAGAAATTACTCCGCAACTTTGAGGAGAAATTATTTTTAACCAGGAATTTTATATCCAAATTATCACTCAAGGGAGAGAGTTAAAAAAAATTGGTATTATGAACATTACAAAAATATTACTTCCCTTGCCTCGAGCTCCTTTAGGATTGCTTCTAAAAATTCAGGAATGAATAAAGAGGAAGACATGGGATCTATTAAACTGGAGATTCAACACATGAGATAAGGAAGGAAGATGGATTGGAGGAGCATAAAGGGAAGTGTTGTGATGAAAGGCAGGCAGCAGAACTACAGAGCGTCTAGGCCAGATTGGCTCCAGAGGTTGTAGAATGCTCAGGCGTATGTCTCAAGGATGACAATATGTTTTAATCAAAGAAATGTCTTACTAAAAGTAGCAGAAATAAACAGAAAATACTGGAATAAACTAACAAAAATGAAGTGAATTAAGGCAGCAGTCATTCACTTATTCACTTCTGTATACCAAAAATATATGAGGCCTACATAAATTTGTAGGTCAGTTTTTACAAACCTTGAAGAGTATACATTCTTTTCAAATACAAGTGATCTCAGGTTAGAAAGAGACGGTGAGGTACCCAAATCATTCCGTGAGGTTAGATAATCTTGATAATTGCACATGTATAACCTAAGAAAAGTATAAGTATCATATTTAAATACATAGATAACCAATTTCTAAATAGATTATTTACAAACTAAATTTACATTTTACTTTACTAAAAACAAGTAGAATAAATTGGATTTATCCCAGAACCTACCACTGCAATTCATCATTATATTAACATCATTAAGGAAAAAAGCCCAATAAGTTTTAGAATATAATTAAACTGTATTAATAAATTAATTGTTAAGAACCTAATTTGATGGGGGAAAACAATACTCAGTAAATTTCAAAACTCATTATCTAAAATATAATTTATATATTAACATGCTAATGTATAAAATCTTAATTTTATGGAGGAAGAAATAGATCTAGTATCTGTAAGATTCAAAACCCGTTCATAATTTTAAAAAGGAAAAACTTGTATTAAATTAGCAATAGAAGAAAACTTCTTTAATCACTAAATGTTACCTACATACCATCCCACTTTGGACAAATCATACCTGATGATTACACTGGATGTGTACCCTTTTAAGACAAGAAAAGAAAAAACCAGAAATATTCTATATCATTATTATGACTTTAGATTTCATTATGCAATACTGATAAAATAAAAGAAATATTAGAACTGCAAAACATATAAAATGTTATAACTTGTAAATTAAATACTAGGATTGTTTGTATAGAAAGTATAACATAATATATAGTCACACAATTATAACTAAAAAAAGTCCAGAAAGGCCAGGCACAGTGGCTCACGCCTGTAATCCCAGCACTATGGGAGGCTGAGGTGGGTGGATCACGAGGTCAAGAGATCGAGACCATCCTGGCTAACACGGTGAAACCCCGTCTCTGCTAAAAAATACAAAAAATTAGCCAGGCGTGGTGGCAGGAGCCTGTAGTCCCAGCTACTCGGGAGGCTGAGGAAGGAGAATGGCGTGAACCCGGAAGGCAGAGCTTGCAGTGAGCCAAGATGGAGCCACTGACCTCCAGTCTGGGCCACAGAGAGAGACTCTGTCTCAAGAAAAAAAAAAAAAAGTCCAGAAATATGGCTGAAAAACTTTCCATAAAAAAACCTAATAGCAATTTTAAAATAAAAAGCGTATGTATATATAATTTCAAAATTATAGCAAGTTAGAATGTAATGTAAAATAAATATGCAATAACCTTATGGGGAAATATTCAAAATGCTCTTGAAGGGCATGAAAGAAAATCCAAATAATTATGAGCATAATCTTGGATCCAAAGTCTTAATACTACAGGAATGTCATTTTCCCTCAAATTAATCCAGAAATCCAATGAATTTTCAGAATTCTATACTTTTAGAGTTTCTACACTTTTAGAATTTAGCAATCTAATTCTAAAAGTGGTATGAAAAAAATTTAAAGACCAATCTAAAAGTGGGCAAAGATTCAGAGAAATGAAAACTCATAGCAACTGCTGATAGTATAAATTGGTACAAAAACTTCGGAGAATAACTTTGTGATACTGAATCAATTTTCAGATGAACATAAATGGGACCTGAGATTATAACATATAGAGCCTTTTAACATGCCCAAGGAAACTATGATCTAATTTCAGTTATTTGCAATAACAAAAAGCTGATCAATATATCTATCAACATGAGAATCTGTCATATATTACGGTATATTCATAAAGTGTAAAACCACAGAAAAACTCAACCAAATAAAGAATATCAAATATGTTATGCTGAAATGAATAGGCAAGATCCAGAACGATATATACAGAATGACAGTTTTAGTGACATGAAAAACGACAGTAAATATTGTTTATAGATACATACAAATGTAATACACTATGAAACATATACTGCAAAGACATATTATTTATATAAAAGTGGTACTTCTAGAGAGAAAAAGAATATAGGAATCAGAAGGGAATATAAGCACATTTTGATCTGCCCTGTTTCACTTCAACAAATTTTTGAAGGAATTTCTCCTATATAATAATTGATAATCAAATACACCACTAGCTACACTAATAAAGAAGAAAAAAAGAGAAGATCCAAATAAACACAATTAGAAACTACAAATGTGATATTTTCACTGACCCTACAGAAGTAAAAATAAACATCAGAGAATATTATGAACACTTCTATGCGCATAAACTAGAAAATCTAGAAGAAATGGATAAATTCCTGGACACGTACACCCTCCCAAGACTGAACCAGGAAGAAATTGAATCCCTGAACTGAACAATAATGAGCTCCAAAACTGCATCAGTAATAAATAGGCCACCAACAACAAAAAAGAAGTCCAGGAAAAGACAAACTCACAGCCAAATTCTACCAGATGTACAAAGAGAAGCTGGTACCATTACTACTGAAACTATTCCAAAAAACTGAGGAAAAGGGGCTCTTCCCTAACTCATGAGGCTAGCATCATTCTGGTAACAAAACCTAGCAGAGATACAACAAAGAAAAAAAAAAACAAAAACGAAACCTCAGGACAATATCCTTGATAGACATTACTGCAAAAACCCTCAACAAAATACTGGCAAACAGAATCCAGCATCACATCACAAAGCTTATCCACCACAATCAAGAAGGCTTTATTTCTGAGATGCAAGTTTGGCTCAACATACACAAATCAATAAATGTTATTTGTCAAATAAATAAAAGGCAAAAACCACATGATTATCTCAATAGATGCAGAAAAGGATTTTGATACAATTAAATATCCATTCACGTTAAAAATCTGTCAAGAAACTAGGTATTGAAGGAACATACCTCAAAATAATAACAGTCATATATAACAAATCCACAGTCAATATCATACTGAATGGGCAAAAGCTGGAAGCATTCCCTTTGAAAACTGGCACAAGGCAAGGATACCCTCTTTCTCCACTCCTATTCACCATAATATTGGAAGTACTGGCTAGCACAATCAGGCAAGAGAAAGCAATCAAGGGCATCCAAATAGGAAGAGAGAAAGTCAAATTATCCATGTTGGCAGATGACATAATCCTATATCTAGAAAACCACAGTCTTGGCCCAATATCTCCTTAAGCTGAGAAACAACTTTAGCAAAGTCTCAGGGTGCAAAATCAACACACAAAAACCACTAGCATTCCTATATATCAACAACAGTCAAGCCAAGAGCCAAATCAGCAATGCAATCCCATTCACAATTGCCATAAAAAGCAAAAATGCCTAAAATACAACTACCAGTGAGGTGAAAGATCTCTACAAGGAGAACTACAAAATACTGCTCAAAAAAATCAGAGATGACACAAACAAATAAAAAAAAATTCCATGCTCATGGATAGGAAATATCAATATTGTTAAAATGGCCATACTGGGCAAAGTGATTTATAGATTCAATGCTATTTCTATAAAACTACCAATGACATTCTTCACAGAACTAGAAAAATCAAACTATACTACAGGGCTACAGTAACCAAACAGCATGGTACTGGTACAAAAAAACAGACACACAGACCAGAATAGAGAACCCAGAAATAAGGCCACACTACTATAAAGATCTGATCTTCAACAAAGCTGACAAAAACAAGCAATGGGGAAAGGACTACCTATTTAATAAATGGTGCTGGGATAACTGGCTAGCCATATCCAGAAGATCGAGACTGGACCCCTTCCTTAAACCATATGCAAAAATTGACTCAAGGTGGATTAAATACTTAAACGTAAAATCCAAAGGTATAGAAACCCTGGAAGACAACCTAGGCAATACCATTCTGTACATAGGAATAGGCAAAGATTTCATGATGAAGATCTGAAAAGCAATTACAACAATAGAAAGAATTGGCAAATGAGATCTAATTAAACTAAAGAGCTTCTGCACAGCAAAAGAAACTACCAACAGAATACACAGACAACCTACAGAATGGCAGAAAAACTTTGCAAACTGCATTTGATAAAGGTCTAATATCCAGCAACTATAAGGAACTTAAACAATTTTACAAGAAAAAAACAACTCCATTCAAAAGTAGGCAAAGAACATTAACACTTTCAAAAGGAGACATATGTGCAACCAACAAGCATATGAATAAAAGCTCAAATCACTGATCTTTAGAAAAACACAAATCAAAACCACAGTGAGATACCATTTCACATCCATCAGGATGGCTATTATTATTATTATTATTTTTGAGATGGAGTCTCGCTCTGTTGCCAGGCTGGAGTGCAGTGGTGCTATCTCGGCTCACTGCAACCTCCGCCTACTGTGTTCAAGCAATTCTCCTGCCTCAGCCTCCCGAGTAGCTGGGACTACAGGTGCGCACCATAACACCCAGCTAATTTTTGTATTTTTAATAGAGATAGGGTTTCACCATGTTGGCCAGGATGGTCTCAATCTCTTGTCCTCATGATCCGCCCACCTCAGCCTCCCAAAGTGCTGGGATTACAGGCATGAGCCACCACACCTGGCCAGAATGGCCATTATTAAAAAGTCAAAAAATAACAGGTGCTGGCGAGGTTGCAGAGAAAAAGGAATGCTTATATATTGTTGATAGGAGTGGAAATAAGTTCAACCATTATGGAAAACAGTGTGGCAGTTCCTCAAAAACAGAACTACCATTTGACCCAGCAATATCATTACTGGATATATATCCAAAGGAATATAAATCATTCTATCATAAAGACACATGCACGCATATCATCATTGCAGTACAATTCACAATAAGAAAGACATGAAATCAACCTAAATCCCAATCAACAGTAGACTAGATAAAGAAAATGTGGTACGTATACACCATGGAATACTATTCAGCCATAAAAATAATGAGATTATGTCCTTTGCAGGAACATGGATGGATCCGGAGGCCATTTATAGCAAATTAAAGTAGAAACAGAAAAAGAAATACTGCACGTTCTTGCTTCTAAATGGGAACTAAATGACGAAAACACATGGACACATAGAGGGGAACCACACAAACTAAGGCCTACCAGAGGGTGGAGGGTAGAAGGAGGGAGAGGATCAAGAAAAATAACTAATGGGAACTAGGCTTAATACCTGGGTGACCAAATAATCTGTACAACAATCTCCCATGACACAAGTTTGTCTATATAACACCTGCACATGTGCCCCTGAACTTAAAAGTTAAAAAAAGATAATTGGATATACTTGCATTCACTGTAATATTTGCTATCATTTCCTGAATATGTGAAAATTTTTATTAAAATTCATATAAACATGTAAATAAATTATTAATTTTCTTGTTTTAGTTTAAAACTATTAAGAGACAGTATTATTTTTCTTGCACCAAAGTCTTTTGGTAAGCTAGCATTTAATATTTAAATAAACAATAGAGACAGATTACCAGATGGAGAGGGGTTGAACATTAGGCCTATAACCATAGCAATCAAAGAGAACACTTTAAGATAATTTTATAGGTAGTGTGTTCACTGCAATGCAAGGAAAATAATAGACAGATGTCTCATTAGCTCATGCACTTTGTATATTCCTTATCTGTAATTCTTAAAAGCATTACCCAGCATTGCGAATAAGCAAAATATTGGGCTATTGGTGAAATAAAACACAACAATATAGAGAGTTAACTGAGTTCATCTTTCATTCCAGACAGATGACTGTCATTCACTAGAAAATGTATTGCACCCAGTTTAAATTTCATGGTAATTTAAATGTGCTTGGCATCTCTCCAGGGCCACCAGGAAGTTAACTTCAGCATTTGTGAACAAAGCTGAAATTACTGGAAGTAACCTTTGAACTGGTGTGACTTGGGATAACTCCATTCATTCCTTTTTCATTTTTGACATAATCCTATGCATACTAAGAATTTTCCAATTGCAATATAACAGCTGATATTTAGATTCAAAAGTCTCCAGAGAGGGTTTTTAAAATGCATTTATATCTAAGAAACTGGGTGGCTTATGCCTGTAATCCCAGCACTTTGGGAGGCCAAGGCAGATGGATCACAAGGTCAGGAGTTCGAGACCAGCCTGGCCAATATGGTGAAACCTCATCTCTACTAAAATACAAAAATTAGCCAGGCATAGTGGCATGTGCCTGTAATCCCAGATACTTGAGAGGCTGAGGCAGGAGAATCGCTTGAACCCGGGACGTGGAGATTGCAGTGAGCCGTGATAGCGCCACTGCACTCCAGCCTGGGCAACAAAGCAAGACTCCATCTCAAAGAAAAAGAAAAAGAAAAAGAAACTGGAAGTCTCTGGATAGCTTAATACTGAGGAGATGAATTTATTGTTATGCTAGTAAGGGCTTTGACTTAAAGAAGTGGATTACTAGTATTGTCTGTCAACTTCTTAGGCTCAATAGCTCAAGTGATGTTGTTGGCTGGCCTCTTGTCATTTTAAAAAATGTATGCTGATAGCTCTATTTTAGAGTCTTAAATTCTATGTTTTTTCCCCTCTTTTCATTAGAATAATATCTCCAGTGGTAATTGGTGAACAGCTTCATCAGTCTTTCTATACTGTTATTATAGAAAGAAATGTAAACAAAACATTTTGGAGCCATTAATATAAATGATTGAGGGGCAGTATTGGTAAACAGTTGCTGAAAACTGCTTTGCCACATAACTGAGAAACATGCAATTTTTGTTGTGACATGCAAACAACAGTCAATAAATAATAGAGAAACAGTAAGTAATCATATATTTAATAACAGGAATAAAGTTTGGTTATTTTGATTATTCACTGAATCCATCAAGCAAACATTCTTTAAAATTAATGTATCTAATATTGAATTACTATTTCATGAATTAATGAAGAAGTAAAAATAATGTTCACTACCCAAATATCTATCTTATTGCAACATTTTAAGAGTCTTCCTCATTCTCTGTGGAAAGTTACAGTAGTGAAAAGATCATGGACTTTAAAGTTAGAGAAATTATGTGTGACTCTGTGGCTTAGCAGTCACTACTCTGACCCTGAGTTTCAAAACAGTTGAATATGTTTTATTGCCTGTAAATTGGGGGGCTTGTTATAAGGATTACATTGTCTAGTATTTCCTGCATCCCCATTATCTGTAATTATGCCAATCACATAGTAAGGTGCTCAGTGACTATTAAACCAAAGTATTAAAACACACATACATTCAAGGATGCACAAATGAATGAATACATGAAAAGGGTGTCACGTGGCACAAACATAGTTATTTTTTCCATCTCCTTGTATTCCTTCTGCCTTCAGGATAATTACAATGACTAAATGAGTCAACATATCTGTTTAAATTATAAGTAGCTACCAAAGAAAAAGCTGAGTCAGCTTCCCCTTCAATATCTCTGCTTATTTCTAAATATATTAATTTATAGGTGCTTCTAAATTATTCTACTGCAATTGTAACCATTTAGCATGGCAAAGCAAGATATGTACCAGGTTAACTGCAAGCTGAATCTATATAGTTATTGTTCAACATACCTAAAATAAACCTATTCATGAGGCTCTTCATCTTCTCTGAGTTCTATAGCATACCTAGTGTATATGAAATAATTCAGCATTCATTCTAGACTATTGCAAAACTCTTTGTTGTAATAGGTATGTTTGCCAACCCTAACTTCCTGATGGACTATAAATCTCTTGAAAGAGAGGTTATAACTTCTACGCTATAGCATTTAGCTAAATAAATTCTAATACATTATACCAACTAGGATAACATAAGAATAATATTCCCTGGTCTGTCTTTTCTTGCTCTCAATTAAATACACATGGAGAAGTAAAAAAAGACCAAAACATGAAGGAATGCAGTGGTTAAAAAGTAAGCTTTGGAGCCAGACTGCTGAATGCCAGTTTTCTCTCCACCATGTGGAAAGTAATTGTTCAATGTGTAAAGCAGGATTAGTAACTATCTCTTAAAATTATTCTAGGGATTCAATCCTTAACATGTAAAGCACTTAGAACAGCTCCTGGCCGTAGTAAGAGAACAATGTTAGCTATTATTGTTACTACCATCATACAAAGATCAGGGACAATAACAAAAATAAAATCCAGCCGTTTATAAGTGACACACTTAAAACCAAAGGATGTAAAAAACTTGGGGAAAAAAACATGTGTAATTCACTACACAAATAATGACAAAATAAAGTAAGGTAAAGACAGTGTGACACAAAAGAAAATAAAAGTTGAAAAGAATTCAATGGAACAAGGAGACATGTTTATGACTGATAGACGATAAATTACACTGGAAAGATATAGCAGTTACAAACTTTGAAGAACTTAACAAATGCAAATAATATAAATATATCTATAAACACAGTGGCATATTTATCAGAAAGTCATTTAATTAGAAACAGAAAAATCAGCCATTCAGCTGCTTTCAGAGCAGACCCCTTTCAGTGGTGTTTGTATGTCTGCATAATGATTGTTAATCACTTATTTTTCAGAAGTCATGTAACTGATGAAATTGTTCCTGATGAGTTAAAGGTAGAGATTGAGGCCAAAGCCACATATGACATAAAACACAGATGATGCTGTTTATTTTTAAGAGCAGGACTTTGTGAGGAAGCCTGGCATTTCCAAGGATTACAACTGTTCAGCAGGTTACTAAAGACGTGTCACCTTAAATTATATACTGTATCTGTACAGAGAAGATAATCAAGGTAAAATGGCAAAGTTAAATTGTACTATTTGCATGCTATGTTTCACACTCATTATTCAAAATTTCTTTTATGGCACCACTAGATCTCTGTGTGTGTTAGGCACTGCTAAACATTTTTGGAGGGGACAGAGAATTCATCACTAATGGCTGGTGGTAATTAATGTATTTAAAATGATGTTCTACTTTTTTGAATCATTTGATGTGATTAAAAAAAGATTCAAAAAATTCAAAGCATATCAAATGATTCAAAAAAGTAGAGAATAATAATTACCTCTAGAGATTATTGTTAATAATATAACACAGCTGGAGGCCACAACTATTTCTTTGATTGATTTAATATTGTACTTTGACAGAAGAATATTGAAACGTGTTTGATTCACATAGCTATATCGTACGCTGAACGTACTAAACTAGTTAGATCTCCCACTCTGTCTGAACCATAAAATTAGTGAACTAAACAAACTCAAGAAACATCTTACATGTGAAACACAGAAACTGTTTTTATACAGCTTAACATATACTAACAAAGAGATTGTTGTTATTTTAATAGGCTAAACTGTGATCCTAAAATATTAGTAATCACTTTAAGGCCCTAATTAACACCTGCACATGTAGAGGCTTTTTAGAATTATCTGCTTTACTTCTCAGTAGGTTGATGTTGATAATTGAAGTAAGGCAAATGTCCTCTGTTCATCTTTACTGCAACTCAGACTTTTACTATATATCCTATTCATTAAAAAGAATAAGGAAGCAAGAAAGATAAAGGTAATCAATCTACCTTCACATCTGTATCAATACCTATATCTATATAGCTTTGTATTTTATATTTGCTTTATAGGGCATTCACTTTTTATACTCCCATTCGAAATTCTTTACATTTTATGTATATCCATTTTAAGTGTATCCAGAAATAAGAACAACTTGACCACCCAGGACTACAATATTCTCTCATAAGCACCACAAGACAGGCAAATGCTTAGATGTTTTTCTCTCTTCCAGAAGTAGCCCTCTGACCATGAAAATCCATTATATTGGTCTCTTGTTCTTTACCCAACATTGGTAAATGGCCCTAGAAAACCATCAACTGACATCTTCATGGTTCTCTTCTTACAGAATTTCAGTTCCTTCATCCTCATTATTTCAGCAGTCCTATGTTGTCTTTGTATTTTATTTAGGTTGCTAGTTATTCTCAGAAGAAAAGTTGGTCATTCATAAGCTATTTAATGGTACTGGGAAATGGAAATTAATGTATGGAAGTTTAATGGACATTGACATTACTGTATGTCAAATGCACTTGAGCATATATATGTGAAGTTCCTTTCAAACTAAACTGGGAAAGAAAACATAAATAACATTTGAAAAAGCAAAACAAAGAATTCTTAGACTAAAAAATAGGACCACAATTTTTCTTAGCTTATAGAGGGAGAAAAGCAGCAAGTTCATAATCTGGGCTTTTGTGATGTGATGGATCACACTTTAAGTATGGGCCATGATATCACCAAAATTCAAACACGTCTGTGAATGGGGAAAAAGATCCTGGGGATTGTTCTTTTCGTATTACCATGTGTTCTTGCCCCCACGTGTATGCTTTGTATTCTTACTAGAAAACAAAACAAAACAAAACAAAAAAAATGAGAAGAAAGCTTGAGCTGATATCATCACTCTTGCCAAATCTCGTCCTGAGAAGAACTCTATTCTCTGTGGTCTCCTCAGGCTCAGCACCTATGCATATTTGTGTATTTGAATTAAAGAGAATTTTAATTCAAAAGGCCATTTACAAGAAAACAGTCACATTTGAGCATGTGCATGCACACACACGTGAACTCAATAACTGCCGTAACACAGAGCTGGTATGTTATAATCTCTTACAAAAACCAAATAAAGTCAGAATTTAATATAACAGAGGAGTCAAAAAAATCACTTGTATTTTTAAAATAAGTAACACTAGCATTAAAAAGATTTTTAAAATTAGATTTTAAAATTATCATTAAAATTAGACTGTTTGGAAGGAAAGGACAAAGACAATACTATATATTCCAACCTAAAGGATATAGCCAAAGAGAAAATAAAGAGGGAATTTTATAGTTTTAAATGTATTCATTAGACAATTTCAAAAGCTACATTAAAATAATCCTTACCACCACTCCATCCCAGAAAAGAAACTAGGAGAAAATACACACAAACACATATATTATATATATACACATATATTTATATATAAAGTAATATTAAAATTAAAACAGAAGCAGAAAATACAACTTTTTAAAAGTTTATACTGTGAATTGAACATATTTTGAGATCTTTTCATTCCATTGCAAACATCAAAAATGTTATATTGAATGTTTTAAATACTTTAAAAAATCATAGGTTAAAATACAAGGAAAGGGAATTTCTAGAGATTAAAGTGAAAAACGAGAGAATCTACCATGTTAAGTTGTGGTTTACACCTGAAGCTGTAAGCAGTAAGAAGCAGACACAGACATAGAAGCCCAGACATAAGTATCTTTCAGAGTACGGGGACAACCTCTGTACCTGTTTGTTGCAGGAGGTAACAATTGGGTTCATTGGATAGTTAGGAATTGCCTACCCATCTGAGAATGAAGTAACTCTAGGCATTATCACCCCCAAACACCAAGCTACAAACCACAATCAAGCTATAAACCAAATGAAAACACAAGCCCAGACTGGAAGAGTAATATAATCATAATATTATGATTGACAAAATGATAATCTACAGATTACATAAAAGGTACCTGCAAATCAATGAGAAAAAAAAAACCTCAAAGAAGAAGTAGTTCAAGGATATAAATAAAACATTCACAGGAAAGGAAATTTAATTGCCTGTAACTGTATATCTTTTACCCTCTTAGGTTTAGGGTAATGCTTATTGTTAAAACAATGATGTACCATTTGTAATCACCCGAGTGTCATTTTATTTTTAGTTGGCAATATAATCTATAATCTAGATATTGCTATGACAGTGTCTATAGTTGACCATTGCTATATATGATCATTTTTAATAGATTTGCAAAACTAAATAGCATAAATATACTTTAGAAATTATAATTCAAGAGCCATAGAATATGCTAATAGATGAAATATGTGGGAGAAATTAAAACTTTTTAACATCAAAAATGCTCCCGAGGCAGTAAACTTATGTAACTCAGTAAATTTTTAAAGAAAACATCCAGAATATATACTTAATGTGACATTTTAATGATTTATAATGTACTTTCCTCCCCATGAGATAAATGTAATTATATTAAAATTATAGAAATAATACAGAAAACTTATAAAACACATTATTTATAGAGATGCAAATATCCCCCAATATTCAAGTTAAAACTCTCAGTGTATTAGAAGATATCATAAATAAATATTGTTTATCCTAGTGATAAAATACTTTAACATTACAATTTAATTTTAAAAATACTACACTAAAAGATTAAAGAGTAAAGCAGATATAATACCAACAGTAGAAAAAAGTACTTGATATAGTTCAACCTTTGTTTAAAAGCTCATAATATGCCATGTTTGTAAAGAAATATATTTGATATTTTTATATATACCTATAAATAAAATATATGTCTATCTACCTATATTTCTATAATCAATATATTTCTATCTACCTATCTACCTAAATGTTCAGCCAACATTTTTGTAAAGGGTCAGATAAAAATACTTTTAGCTTAGTGATCCATATTCAGCTCTGCTCATCATTGTAGAATAAATGTAGCCATAGGAAATATGTAAATAACTGGCATGTCTAAATTTCCAGTGCACCTTTATGAAAACAGGCTTCTCGGCATTTGGCCTATGAATCTAGTTTGCCAAACCCTGTATCAGAAACATTCTGCTGGTCCTTTAACTCATGAATTAGCTATTAGAATTACTCCCATGAAAATTAGGTAAAAACTATGGATGCCTACTGTTTTAGTCCATTTGAGCTCCTATAACAAAATACCATAGACTGGGAAGGGGTGGCTTATAAACAGAAACTTATTTCTCACAGTTCTGGAATCTGGGAAATCCAAGATCAAAGAACCAGCAGATCTGACATCTGGTGAGGGGCACACTTTCTACTTCCTCCTAGCTTACATCTTACTCTTTCCTCACATGGCCAACTGGGGAGAGGTATCTCTCAGGCTCCCTTTACAAAACCATTAATCCAATTCATGAGGGCTCTATCTTCATGACCCAACCACCTCCCTAAGGCCCCATCTTATAACATCATCAACTTGGGGGTGAAGATTCCAGCATATGAATTTTAGGGAGATATAAACATTCAGACCATAGCATCACAACCCTGGCCCCCAAAATGGATGTGCTTCTCACATGCAAAACACATTCATTTCATCCCAATAGCCCCAAAAGTCTTAACTTGTTCCAGTATCCATTTTAAAGGGTAAGTCCTAAGTCTCATCTAAATATCATCTAAATTAGATTTGGGTGAGATTAAAGGCAGAATTCATTCTAAAGCAAATTGCTCTTCAGCTGTGAATCTGTGAAGTCAAACAAATCATGTGCTTCCAAAATATCGTGATGAGACAGGCTCAGCACAGACATTCCCATTCCAAAAGAGAGAAAGAAGAAAGGAGCGACAAGTCCCCAGCAAGTCCAAAACCCTAAGTCTTGAGAATAATCTTCTTTGACTACATGCTACACCCTCCAGGCCCACTGGGGAGGAGGTCCCCACTCCTGAACACACTAAAGCTGAGATTCTGCCCCTACAGCTGTGCTGGGAGCATCACACTACAGCAGGGGTCTGTTTGAGCTTTACCTGGGGCTACAGAAAAGCAGAATGATAGAGGGCCGGACCCAAGCCTGAAACATGAAGCAGTGCTGGCAGCAGGGCCTCTCCTTTGAAATCATTCTGCTCCACAGGCCATTGAACTCTGGGCCTGTGGTTGAAGGAGCAGCCCTGATAATTTCTGAAAAGCTCTGAGGTCATTCTTACATTGTTTCAAACGTTAAGTCCTGGCTTATACTTCACTGAAGTCCTTGTCTATGCAATTCTGGTATTACATTACATGTCTTTAAATTATTCTTACCTTTTATGCCTCGTTTGTGTGTGTGTGTGTGTGTGTGTGTTTAACCTGTATATTTGCTGGAAGTTTATCTGGGAGGAATCTGTAAGGCCTGCATTAAAGATTGTGTTCTTCCAAAGATTTACTTTAATTCTGTCATTTGGTCCACTTTAAGTGACCACTTTAAATGGATGTTGTATACCGTGTAAATTCAGGTCTAATTTCACCTAAATCCTGACCGGTTAACATAAAATCTAAGGAGCAATTTGATTTCTTGTATCCAGAACCAAGGCAGATGAATCTCCCAGCTGCCTTGGTGATATCTTTTTTCTCTCATGGGAAACTGATAATAACTTCCCCCAGTACACAGTAGTTTATTGTTGTCTCTGTGCTTCATTCTCGGCCACAGCCCCAAGGCCCAGAGTGTGGTTTGGCAGAGTGGGTTGAAAAAAAAAGTTATCATTCATCGAATAAAGAATCTTTCTATTTTTAGACACAAATATAGCTTTCAGAGCTAATACATATGCAATATTAGTGACTCAATATAAAGAGCATTATTTGTTTTTGGAGATTCCCATATCTAATATCAAATCTATCGCTCTACTAAGAAAATACAAATATTTAATGATAATTCAAGTAGAGAGAAGATCCAAGTTTGGAACTGTTTTGTTCAATCTGACTGCCCTTAGTTACGTATGGCTATTGTAATTTGAATTTAGCTTAATTAAAATAAAATAAAATTTAAGAAGTCTGTTCTTCAATCACCCTAACAACATTTTAATTACTCAATAGCTACATGGTGGTATTGGTTGCTCTACTGGAAAATACAGAATATAGAATATGTTCATCATCACAGGAAATTCTACTGGATAGCTTTGGTTCAGGCACATGCCACAGGATCAGAGGAAGTCATAGAGAAATAAATTTTTCTGCAGCAGATTAGTGAGAGTATTTGGACATCTGTTCTAAAGGGAAGAAGGGGAATCCAGAATGAGAGTAGCCATGGAAAAATCCCACCTTTCCCACTTTTGCACCAACCTTCACTTCCTCCATTTTTCTTCTGGAGAAGTTAAATACTGTATATTTGCATTACTCAAATGGATTCCTCATTTCTTAAAAATTCTAACTCAGAGATCAGCAAACTTTTTCTATGAAGGGCAAAATAGTAACCATTTTGGGCTTTGTATATCATATGGTCGCTGTCTCAACTACTGAACTCTTCCATAGTACAAATGCATCCACAGGCAATAGATCAACCAACGGGCATGACTATTTCAATCAAACTTTCTTTATAAAAACAGGCATTGGACAAGATTTGGCCTATGGCCTGTAGTTTTCTGACCTCTGCCATAAAAACCAACAAACAAAACCAGAATACCAATTCTCAGTTCTCTAGCTGTAAACTTTCACAAGCTCAGGAGAGGTATATAGCAGGTTTCTTGTCAAAAAAATGATGTTTAATAAGAATTCCAGAAAAGGTATTTGATTTGGGTCAGGGGCAGAAAAGCAAGTAGTGCATCTAATATATCACCAAACAAAACATCTAGAAAAGTAAAAGGGAGGACACATGAGGTCAGGATCACATAGGATCTGTGGTCTGGAGCAAAATAGAGAGTTAAGTATCCAGACTATACATATGTCACAGATACTGATACAGAAGGGCTGCGCTCTGGGCTAAGCCACACCCTTAAGCCTGGAACCGCGGCCCTAAGTGAAAACAGCTGAACCTGTTTTTCCGCCCAAATGTTGCCTTTTTGGCCTGTCCCGCCCCCATCCTGTGCTCATAAAAGACTTCAGCTCCGAGAGCAACACAAGCAGCTAAACATGGAGGATACAAGTGGCTGAGCAGCAAGCCAAGAAGCAACTGAGTAAGAGAGACTACAAATAGATGCGCCTAACTAACGGTGCAGCTTTGGAGAGGAGCCCAGCCAAAGATGGCCGGCTTCAGGGAAAGATCACCTTCCCATCCCCTTTCCAGCCTCCCTTTCGGCTGAAAGCCACCTACCGCTAAATAAAGTCTTCCGCATTCATCACCTTTCAAACAGTTCGTGTGACCTGATTCTTCCTGGATGCTGGACAAGAACCTGGGTGTCGGGAGGGCAGGGGCTGCCACCCTGACCCTCCCCTGAGGTGGTTGGCACTTGGCCGTCCCCAGACGGCAGAGCTGAAAGACCATTGGTTGTAACTCTCTTGGACGCTGCTGCGGGCCCTGCACAAAGCCTGCTCCCACCAGAGAGGTGCGACCGGCTGGTTTCAGCATTCGTTCACTTCAGTTCCAGAGTTTGTTCACTTGGTTCACACACTCATTTGCTCACAGGCTCCCTCTCGCGAGAAGTGGCCAGCATCAAGCTAAGTGAAATGATTGAAGGGGGTGAAATGCCTGTGAAGGGGGTCAAGGGAACTATCCCATCTCATGACAATGTGTAGAAACTAGAGTAGAACCGGTAAGCAGCCCCAAGTAGAGATTATACAGGAGGAAATGCTCAGCACTTAAAGAAATGAGTTGCTTTAGCTAGGTAACTCTTATGTGAAACAAGCTATGTAAGACTGGAAGGGAAGCTGTGAGAGTTAAGAAAGTTTATTAAGCTGGGAGCGGTGGCTCACGCCTGTAATCCCAGCACTTTGGGAGGCCGAGGCGGGCAGATCGTTGAGGTCAGGAGATTGACTCCATCCTGGCCAACATGGTGAAACCCTGTCTCTACTAAAAGACAAAAAATTAGCCGGGCGTGATGGTGCACACCTGTAGTCCCAGCTACTCGGTAGGCTGAGGGAGAGGAATCACTTGAACCCAGGAGGCAGAGATTGCAGTGAGCCGAGATCGCACCACTGCACTCCAGCCTGGCCACCCAGCAGTACTCCATCTGAAAAAAAAAAAAAAAAAAAAAAAAAGTTTATTAGAAACAGGAAGCAAGAGGTTAGAGATACAAATAATATCTGAAATTTGTGAAGCTCCCTGGTTAATGAGGGAGGTCAAGGCCACATTAATAAAGTTCTGCTGGGCTGGACGCGGTGGCTCACTCCTGTAATCCCAGCATTTTGGGAGGCCGAGGCGGGTGGATCATTTGAGGTCAGGAGTTTGAGACCAGCCTGGCCAACATGGTGAAACTCTGTCTCTACTAAAAATACAAAAATTAGCCAGGCACGTGGCGGGTGCCTGTAACCCCAGCTAAGCCGAAGGCTGAGGCATGAGAATTGCTAGAACCCAGAAGGCGGAGATTGCAGTGAGCCAAGATTGTGCTACTGCACTCCAGCCTGGACAATAGAGCGAGACTCAGTCTCAAAAAATAAATAAATAAAAAGAGGTTCTGCCTCATTGTGTTGTGGGATAAACTTAGTCTCTGTTTATGTCTCCACTGTGTGTCCTCATGATGCATCTTTCCCATTCTAGATTCTGTTCTTACTGTGTTTTGTCCCAAACTTTTAGACATTTGTCTTGCTCTCTGCTTTTCTTCTAACATCCTCTTGATGGATATATTTGTCTTCTGATATAATGACAGCTGATTATTTGGATGAGATTGTTGAAAAAGATGAATACTGAAATGTGTTGGAATGAATTGTACTTAGCACTTAGCTTAAAGGGCTCTTCCAACAAATGTTTTGCCAGTTTTCCTTTTTTGAAAGATAATTCTTTATTATGGTAGAAAGTACACAAAATTCATGCTGATTTGTTGTGCATTCCGTTACCCAAATTGAATCTTTATGTTGGATAGCTTCTTGATACATTCACTTCTTAGTGGGTGTTGTTTGGTAATGTAGGTAAATTTAATATCACATTGAAAACACTACATATAGTTTAAGCAGTATGTTTTGAACACCAAGATAAAGCTTTTGATGTTCGTATTGTTAATTGTTGTTGTTTTATGCCGAAACTAGCCAATATTCCACACAAACAATGAGAGTTTTCAAAAGGACTGTCTAAAACCCTATATTCAGTGAGATGCCAATTTCATTTTGTCTACATTTATTATTTCTTCTCCATCTCCTGTCTTCAGCAGCTTCATTTTCACAGGTTTACTCTAGATATCTCCCAAGTGAGATTAATGCACTCCTAAGAGTTTGGAAGATTATCCAGAGGAGCACATGAAGAAAATCCTAAAATTTGTGTAAAAATTTATAGTTTATCTAAAAATAAAGAAGAAATTGAGCTTAGTAATTTGAAAATATTTATGTATGTGTAATATTTAATATAAAATACATCAATTTTACATATAATTATGTATGATTTACAATATAATATACATGTTTATCCAGTTACAATATTTGATATATGGATTGCCATTGGTACCCTCATTTAGTATCTGTGTAAGATGACCCTGTATCACACAGAATAATAAAGATATCCTGACGGAAGTATGAATATTCCATAATGTAGAATGGTTAAGACTATGAAAGTTGGGTAGAAGACTCAACATGTTTAAACTTATATTATTTGTATGAGTGATTTCTATATTAAAATGCATGACAATACAAAATATATGGATAGCAACATTTGTTCTGAATCTGAACCACTAAAGAAATATCAAAGAAAATATAAGAAAAAAATCCAAGAAGAAAGATTCTCAAGTTATTTCTTTAGCAAATATGATGCTTTGGGGAACATTTTGATAAGCATGACTACTGGTGGAGAAGGTAGTTTGATGGAATTAAAAATAAACAAGAATACCAATCACTGAAAGGGACTCCAGATTTCATTGCTTCTACATATTTTTTCTGTTTCAGCCTTTCGGCATTCCCAGAATGAGATAAATTTTTTTTTTCCTTTTTTTTTTTTTTTGAGACAGAGTCTCGCTCTGTCACCCAGGCTGGAGTGCAGTGGTGCAATCTTGGCTCACTGCAAGCTCCGCCTCCCGGGTTCAGACCATTCTCCTGCCTCAGCCTCCCGAGTAGCTAGGACTACAGGCGCCCGCCACCATGCCCGGCTTATTTTTTTGTATTTTTAGTAGAGACGGGGTTTCACCGTGTTAGCCAGGATGGTCTCGATCTCCTGACCTCGTGATCCGCCCGTCTCAGCCTCCCAAAGTGTTGGGATTACAGGCGTGAGCCACCGCGCCCAGCGAGATAACTTCTTAATGCTCGTGTCCAGTCATTTCACCATCTTCCTCATACGTACAAACTGGCTATCCAGAGTATACATTCTCTTTGGAAAAGTATAAGGCTCATTACTTTGTGACTCTATTTATTTTTTTATTCTTATTTTTCACCTTTTACTAAATATATACTCTTGCTACATTAGACTACATGAATATTTCTGTAATATGCCTTATTCAGAAAATCATAAACTTCTATCTTCCTTTTCTATATATCAAATCTTCTGCATTTTCCCAGTTAATCTCAAATGCTAACATCTTCAAAGATCTTTCTCTATTCTTCCCGAGATTTTATATCTTCTTTTATATGCCCATTTGCATAGCTATCTTATCTTTTATGTCCCTCCAGAGAAACAATTTTGCTTTATTTGCTTTTGTTTTATACTAGAACTCTTCCATGAATTGAACTGGTTCCTCTTCCTCAAGACCCAGTCAAGGGCCCACCTCCTTTGTGAACTGACTGATCTCTGAGCCCAGTTGCTGAATGTGTACAGCCTTTTAGCATGAAAGAAAATCCTTTACAAATGTTTACAGTCATGTTTTATGTTTCATTGGCTTGGGCATTTTATGAGGGCAAGGAAAATATACATTATTCTTGATTCATTTCAATATTCTGATACTCTAATAACTCCTAACACAGAGCTTATTAAGTATATGACACTTAATATAACATGCGGACTAACACATACAATTTAGTATATAATCCATGGCTATGGCTTTGTTTTATACCTCACTTGGACCAAATAAAATCTTCTTGCCAGATTGTACTTTTTAAAGATGACCACAACAGTATTTCTTAATGCACGTGACACTGTGAGTTGATTGTGCCCACCTCTCCCCCCAAATTTATATGTTGAAGTCCTAACTATCAGTACTTCAGAATGTGACTTGATTTAGATATAGGATCATTGCAGATATAATTATTTTAAATTAGGTCATCAGGATAGGCTGTATTCCAATATGACTGGTGTCCTTATAAAAAGAGGAAATTTGAGTATAGACAAACACACACAGGGAAAATACCATGTGAAGATGAAGGCAGACGTTGAGGGATGGATGATTCCACAAATCAAGAAATGCCAACAATTATCAACCCACCAGAAGCTAGGAAAAGAGACGTGGAACAGACTCTCTCTGACAGTCCTGAGAAGGAACCAATCATGTTCTCATTTTAATTTCAGATCTCTGGCATCCTGTGAGATAACAACTTTATGCTGTTTTTGCCACTTCATTTGTGTTATATTGTTACGAAAGGGCTAGAAAAACTAATATATATAATTTAGGTTAGCACTTCTGAAAAGTTAATTTTTGAATCTAGAACCCAGATATTTCAAACTCCTACTTGTGCTCCAGAATGTACAGACCTCAAAGGTTACAACTTATCTGTGTTCTTTCCATAAAACTTTTATGCACTATAACATCCACTGGTTTACTTCCCTATTCTGGTAAAAAGGAAATCTCAAGGTGCTTTACAATATTTCACATTTTATTATTAGAAAATCATAGTCATTGATTCATATCATATTTACAGATAGCATGATTCAAGGGTTGTATAGTGTATTTTTTTCATACAAAGAAAATGAAATAAGACTGACATTGCAGTGAAAACCATATGAATTCTGTGATGAGAAAAAATCAGCTAAAACATTTGTTAGGTGTAAGTATAGTAAAAGATAGTAGATATCATTTGTTCTTAAACTGAATTATGGAGACCAAGGTTGATATGAATTCCTGAGTGAAAACAGGTGATATTTTAGAGTTGACTGTATAACAGGAATCACTGGATCCATACATCACTCTGCCTTTTTAACACCAGTCTGTGTGTTAACTGTAGATTTAATATTTGAAGTGGCTGGAGCAAACTGATGATAATGATCATGTCAGAGAAGAAGACATTTGGCTTCACTGTTACTGTTTTTGAGTGCATATTGTGCATAACTTATTTCTAAGTTAGTGTGTTGTGGTAGTACAAAAGGAGAAAACCTTTTATATAGATATGTATTTACATCTGTGAAAAATATATTCAAGATCTCAAAGTGAATGCCCTATTCCTCATTTTACTAAAGGGTCATTTTATTGCATGGCACATGTTTCTGTGAAATTGAATTGATGTAAGCTGAGTTTCATTGAATTTGCCTTACCCAAAGCAAATAAGTAACCAAACCTACAGGTGCTTCTTATCTGTTTCATCTGTTCTGGGAAACAAGATTCTATTTTTTATTATTGCCTTGATTTCTCTGATGAGATGTCAATAACTACCAACACTATACCCAAGACAGACATCTGCAAATGATCACATTTTCCTCATTTAGTCTGATTATGGGGTCAGAGTTCTTAATACAGTGATCTGTTGAATTTCTGTGAAATCCTGAGAGTTGGTTTATAACTTGAAACATATTTGCCATCCTTGCTTATTGATATTATTATTTGATAATTCATAGAGATAGCCGTATACTTAATAGAGAAGTCAACCTCTACAAAGTTGTACATGCAGGTTTATAAAACAATTATTTTGAATTTGACACATATATGTAAGCAAGTTTTGTAAATTAGATTAATGTATACATTTAAATGTGTATTTAAATTATAAATTAAAACTATACATGCCATGAATTTCAGATCTTATGTATTTATGAAATCTTTTTTTGAAATAAATGAACCTGGAACAGCTTTGTCCTGATCTCATTTGAAACTTCTCTTCTTGCCAATTTGTTCTGGATGAGTCATTGATCCTTTTTTTTTTTTCCTAGACCAGTCCACCTACCATTATGACTCATGAAAAGGTACTTCATAGTGGTCACCTTTCTACTTATTCCATATATCAGAGTTGAGGTTTTAATTGAAGCTTATTCCAAGCCTTTGTCTACAATTTCTCAAAGTTTGGAGTTTTATGTACAGTGTTCTGTACTATTTTATTAGTTATCTATTTGGTATAACAATGAGTACCAAAACCTAGCATCTTAACACACACTTATTACTTCACACAGTTTCCGAGGGTCAGGAATCAGGAATCTGAAAGTGACTTAGCTGGCTGGTTCTGGCCCAAGGTCTCTAAAAGGGTACAGTCAGGCTTGGGTCTCTCTGTAGGGATGCTTACAACATGGCAGCTTGCTTCTCCCAGATTTCTGATCTGTGTTTTCACAATCTCTTTAAGTGATTTTGATGCATGCTAAGGCTTGAGAACCATTGAACTAAGGAACTCTTTTGAAGATGCATGCCCGTTAAAATTTCTAACATAATTCTCTAGTAGGAAACATCAGTCTTTATTTGGTTATCACCTTACATCTGGAAGTATTTATGTTCTTTAATTGTGTGGGGGCAGGAATACAGAAAGGTTTCTCTTGTCCTCAGCTTTGTTTTACTAATCAGATACTGTACAAATGCATGAGAGTGCAGAATTTCAGGAGGTATATAACTTCTCCTACAAATACTTTGCACCATTTGTTCCAAAATGCTTCCTTTGTGCAACAGTAGGAGGATGTTTTTGTTTGTTTTACCGCCAAAAAGACCCAGGGTGATGATAAAAATGTTCTTCTTTTCCCCTTTTCCCAAGCCCCTTAACTCTCATTATTTGCATTCCTTTGAATATACAAATTCCTTCTGCAGAACAGT
Organism: Homo sapiens; assembly: GCF_000001405.40. Taxonomy (NCBI): domain Eukaryota; kingdom Metazoa; phylum Chordata; class Mammalia; order Primates; family Hominidae; genus Homo; species Homo sapiens. The sequence goes on along the minus strand of NC_000002.12, from coordinate 83,688,732 downwards.
TGGAGCTAAAAAACTTTTAAAACTTTCTGCTTCAATCCTTTCTTAACCTTTCCTCTATAACAATTCAACCCAACTGTAGGTACATTACACTATAATTAAAGTGCTTCAGCAAGCAGCATGGACATTGGCTCACCCAGCTATCAGTAAAAGAAATAGGTAGGAATGTTTTAAGATGCATTTTTGTTCTCCTATTCAGTGGAGGGAAATTCTTAAATAAAAATTTTGTTTCAAACTTTCATATCTCTATGATTAACTTTCGAGGCTGTGCTGCTCCAGGAACAAAAACTTTTACGTTTAGGCCATCCTCAGTACAATGTTCTTCCTAATGACAAATGGGCATGTTACTAGCTGGGAGGTTTAAAAGTGAGAAAAGACTAAAACTATCCTCACAGTACAGTGTTTCGCTTAATGACAAATGGCACTGTTTGAACTTGAGAAGATAAAAGATGTCACATTTACTTTGAAGCAGAGCAATAGCCAAGTGCTCCCTACTACTGATTGTAGATGTGTCTAAACGAGTGGGGTTCATGGCAGAGTACTAGCCCCTATCACACTGAGAAAGTGTCATTATCTTTTTCTCTCCTCTGGAGAACATATTTGTGCTGCCTAGGAATTCACTTGTATTCTTGTCCTTAGAAGAAAATCCAAATAAAAATACAAAAATTAAAATGTTTAATCAAGTCATTATTTTATTTTGTCAGATAAATTTTTAGAAAAACAAGACAAAGATGAACCACACCCATCAACTTCTTGTTTTCAAAAACCTGCTTTTGAGCATTCGTAACTTAAAACATTCCTCAAATAATTTCTCCACATTTTAGTCAAACACATCATATCCATAAGAAGAGAAAATGTAACATAAATTATTGATCAGATTTTTGTGTTCACAGAACAGCTTAAAAATAAAATGACTTGTTTTCAAGGGAAGAAAGAACAAACAAGAAAGATGACATGAGCTTTCATTTGAATTCAGGCGTGATGATATCTACTCTTGCAAATGGTTTTCTATTCAATGATTGCTCACATGAGAGATGTTTTTGTACTTTCTTGAAAAGAACAGTCCACATTTAGCCTATCAGCATTGGCATAAGACTGAAATTATTCAAGAGTGAATAGAGCACATAGAATCAGTATTGTTCTGGAAAATGCACCTATTTTACAATGACAAATTATTTACAATGACAACGTGAGATATTTTGAGATTCTATACAAACTAAAAATTAAAGAAATGGAAGTTCCTAGCATACCTAGTCCTCCCTTTCCATGAGTAAATACAACACTGTCTCTTTCTTCTTGCCTTAACTATAAATTCATTCTCATTTAACTATACTTCTTGGTTTAGTTTTTTTTTCTTCTTTAATGCTTATAATCCAAATCTGTCTCTGTTAATTTATTGGCCTGTGCAATACTACCAGAACATCATGACCTCCTGCCATAATCTGATCCCAAACTTAGGCATTTAAAATCAACCATTTTATTTTGCCTACTGAGTCTTTGCAGACTACCACATAAGGTTAAAAAAGACAATGAAACTTAAATTGTTTGATGACCCATGCTCATCAGTTTCCAACCATGATGTAATTCTCATAGTACTGCCACAGAAGCAAACCCTCCTGATTCTGACAGAAGCTCTGTCTGGCTTCCAAATGTGGTTGCATCACTGCTTCAATGTGCCAGCTGCCATGTTGCACCATGTGGTATCCCTGGCTGTCTGAATCAGATTTGGACTTGCTGTGCCTTTTGAATACAGTGACATAGCCTGCCCATGGAGCCTGATGAGATCTCTCCAAATCTAACCCTAACCTTCCCAGTCTAACCAAACTCAATTTGCCATATTCATAACATCTCTTGACTCTTTCAACACAAATCACCCTTTTATTGTTTTCATGTGGGTAGATACTGGGTTTATTATGTATTATTATGTATGTATTATAGTATTAAGTGGGTTACATATAATTGAATAATTTTCTAGCTAATTATTTTTTATTTTCTTTTCTCTTTTTAAATGGGCAAAACTAGGAAAAATTAAAGCAGAATAATGAAAGATACCACAGCTCTCATTAAATTTTAATGTGCTGTTTTCTTGCAGCAATATGGATAGAACTGGAGGCTATCATCTTAAGTGAAATAACTCATAAACTGAAAGTCAAATACTGCATGTTCTCATGGCATTTGACTAAGTGTGTACACATGGACATAGAGAATGGAAAACTAGACATTGAAGACTAGCAAAGGTGGAAGTGTGGAAGGGGGTGAGAGATGAGAACTTACCTAATGGGTATAATGTATACTATTTGAGTGATGATTACATCAAAAGCCCAGACTTCACTGCTGCACAATAGATGCATGTACCAAAACTCAGCTGGACCCCCAAACTCTATTTTTAAGTTAAAAAAAAATAGTAATTACTGTATAAGAAACCATAAGAGAAAGAAAGGTATAGTGTAGCAGTGGCATTTGACTCTCCCTAACATTTATTTATTACTATGCTATAATACTTACATGTGACTAAGTTTTCTCATCTAAGTTGGAAAGAAAAATTTAACATCCAATTGGAATACAGATGGTCCCCAACTTTGACTTATAATTTTTCTGCTTTCCAATGGTATGAAAGTGATATGCATTCAGTAGAGACCCATATAACCATTCTGATTTTTACTTTCAGTACCGTACTTAATAATACATTACATGAGATATTCAACACTCTATTATGAAATAGGCTCTGTATTAGATGATTTTTCCAACTGTAGGCTGAGCACTTGAAGGTAAGCTAGGCTAAGTTATGATGTTTGGTAGGTTTGCTGTATTAAATGAATTTTTAACTTATGATGGGTCTATGAAAACATAACCCCATTGTAAGTCCAGCAGCACTTGTAATAGTGCAGCCTCTTCTAATGATCAAGCTTCTGCTAAAAGAAATATCTCTATATAAATATACATGTATTGCATTTCAACATGGTGAAAATGTTGAGGAAAAACCCTTCGTCCAACACAAAGGGGACCAATACTCCTGCCCCCATCATGAAACTTCTAGCTATTTTGTAATTATTTAAAATGTTGAGAGAGAAAAGGAGCAGATTTCCCACTGGGAATCAGAGTGAATGTCTGCCTTTTGTTTATCACCAGGTCATATCAATCTGCATGTTTTCTCACACCTCCTCCTCTTCCAATCAGTCCAAACCTATTAGTCTCAAGCAACCACTTGTTCTGAGAAGTTATTCTGGATTGTTCCTCTCAACAATGATCAGCAATGCCTGTAAACTCAGTCATCTACCCAATCACAAAGTGAGCCTTATTTTGAACATATTTGATTCCAGCTGCTTTCACAAACACTATCTGTCCTCAGTTGATTGTGAGTTCAAGCTCATTTATAAATTAGTCATTCCATTCAATTACTTAAAATGAGACCATTGAAGAAGACTAAAAGCTTAAAAACAAAGTTTCATTGATGAATTTCAAAGTTCAATTCATCAGGTGGGAAATATATGAGAAAAGTCAAATGATTTCATTTTCGTCTATGTTTGTTCCTAGATCTTACTAAAGGAGTATAAGTGGTGAAATATATCACTGTGTTTATTATTTACTGTCTCTGCACTTTAGCTATGGTTATTGTGGCTCGATCTTGGAAGATTTGCTACACACAAGAAATTGAGATTCTATGTTTGATTAATAACATTCCACTGGCTATTTGTGAATGCAAACACATACAACACACTATGAAACACACTTTCCTTCCCTAAGGCTAACATTGTGCTAACAACTCAGCAAGTAATCGAACTGTATTTAATTATTCACTAGAATGTCTCTTGATAGAAAATCAAGTTGTCTGGTTTTTATTAGGTTTATATGACTCTTCGTTGCCTTGTTAGGGTTTAGGGTTTCTTTAGAAAACAAATCAACATAGCAGGTAGTTACGATGAAGAAAAAAGTTTTTGCTTTTAGAAAGATGTATTACCATAAAACTCAATCAGAGCATGTATAGTTCTAGAGTAAACTACACTGGGCGTTTACCATGGGTAGCTCTTCACCAGCATATCTTCCTACCTTCTTGTTTTTTTCTTATGTTTTGCATTTTTTTCTATCTAAATAAGAGTATCCTTTAACACTTCAGTCTCCTGAACTTATTTTGTCCCTTGGTAGGGGTGAATCAATGTATTGCTTTCTTTTCAAAAGTTAAAGGCCATATAATATGCTTTTTCTTTTAATCTTTTCATTTTTAATGTTTTTAAATTCTTTATCCTCTACTATATCTTTTTTCTTAAAAGACCAAGCATTTCCTTTCAATGAGCTGACAAATTCTATGTCTTTCTGACTGATGCCAAATCTGATGCTATGTGAAAAAAGAGACCCATTGTTAGGAATCAATAAGATAAAAAGAAACGGGTCCGGCGTAGTGGCTCATGCCTGTAATCCTAGGACTTTGGGAGGCCAAGGCAGGTGGATCACCTGAGGTCAGGTGTTCAAGACCAGCCTGGCCAACATGGTGAAACCTTGTCTTTACTAAAAATACAAAAATTAGCCAGGAGTGGTAGCAGGCACCTGTAATCCTAGCTACTTCGGTGGCTGAGGCAGGGGAATCGCTTGAACCTGAGAGGCAGAGGTTGCAGTGAGCTGAGATCACGCCATTGCCCTCCAGCCTGGGCGATAAGAGTGAAACTCCAACTCAAAAAAACAAAAAAAATTGTTTTGGGAAGATGGGAAATTGTAGTCAAACCTCTAGTTCTTTACGGTGTTTCTCAAACTTGACGGTGTCTAAGAATGAGCTTGTTAAAAAGAGATTCCATAGAATTTGCAGGGGTATTGACAGAGCCTGAGCATCTGCATTCCTCACAAGTTCACTGGTGATACAGATGTGAAATACACCAGACGCTTAACTTTAAAGATCACTGCTTTGGAACATTTTGTTTGCAGACATATTTTTTCTTATCTTGTAGTATATTTTTTAAAAAGTTGATTTCCAACATTTATCAATTGAAAGATTTCAAATAAAGTTCTTTTCCCTGGAAAATCTAAAAAAGTAAAATTGGAAACTTTGTCAGCATGGGAACCACATTCATACAAGATGAGAATCTTCCAGAACTGAGTAGCTATTTGCTTTTGATGAGATATGTTATCTCCAGTTATTCTGATTTTTCTTTAATTTCTAGTGTTCTAAATCCCTCATACTTTGATAAATAGATTTTTTCTCATCATTTATTCCTAAATATTTTAGAATTTTATATGAGGGTATGATCTTTCCAAGTAAATCTATCTAACAATTTATATGTTTACACACAAACACACGAACATATGAAACTTCAAAATATTGGTTCTTATTATTTACAATGCATTTAGCAAATTTCTTCTGTATATATAATTTCATGCTGAATATATGATAATGCAGCTAATTTAAAAATTTTGAGATTCCTTACATGGAATTTTTGAAGTCAGTTTTTAAAATATTTCATGTGAGCATCAAAAGAATGATAAAAATGATAATGTTTGTTGCTTTGGAGGATTATTATTTTATTTGTAATTTCTGTGAGTACACAGAAATTTACATAAAATAGTGATATTTTTTATATTTATATTTTATTTTATTATTATTTATTATTTTATTTGTAATTTCTGTACTTATAAATATATATGGGGTACATGAGATATTTTGATATAGGCATCTAGTGCATTTATCCTTTGTGTTGCAAACAATCCATGTATACTCTTTTAGTTATTTTTAAATGCACAATGAAATATTGTTAACTGAAGTGACCCTGTTGTGCTATCAAGTACTGGACCTTATTCATTCTATTTATAGTTTTGTATCCATTAACCATTCCCACTTCCCCACCCTCGGCCACTTCACTACCCTTCCCAGCACATGGTAATCATCATTCCACTCTCTATATACATCAATTAAACCACACTTGCTTTTTAATTTATAAATCTTCCATACACAGTCTTTTGTTTCTCTGCCGATGTTACTGTTTTCCACTGTGACTGTGGATATGTCAGCTTATCCTTCAAAGTCTTAGTATTACTCCATTAAATTCACCATGCCCAGGGACAGCGCTCCATTTTCTATCAACAGATTTTTTTTTTGCCTATTTTTGAACTTTATAAAAATATCATCATACAATACATACTTTGCTGGCATCTGGCTTTTTTATTAAAAATGATTTGAGAATCATCCAAGTGATTGCATACATCAGTAGTTAATTCTTTAGTTGTTGTTGCAGATTCTTCCATTGTATAAATATATAATTGTTCTTCCTCCAATGATAAACATTTGGAGAATTTCCAGTTTTAGGCTATTATAAAAAATATTATTATATTAGTCACTGCCTAACTTCTTTTATCTGCTAGTATATATTCCTAGGAACACTTGGGTTTACTTTGCAATGTTTTTGCTGTTACTAGCTTATTGACTTAATGCTGTTCACAGGGAAAGTTATTCCTTGCAACCTGCCTACTTGTCAGTCAGCTAGCTACTTAATTACAAAAATTGAATATAAATTGGTCCTCCATATCTGTGAGTTCCACATCTAGGAATTCAAGCAACTTCAGAAAAATAATATTTTAAAAAATAAACAATAAAAATACAAAAGTTAAAAAACAGTATGTTTTAAAATAGAGTATACTCACTATTTGCATAGAATTTACACTGAATTAGGTATTAAAAGTAATCTAGAGATGATTTAACATATATGGGAAAATGTGCTTAGGTTACATCCCAGAAGAGTTTAAGGGATGAGAAATATTGATGTGGACCTCCACATCTAGGAATTCACCAACTTCAGATAAATAATATTGAAAAAGATAAACAATAAAAATAAAAATACAAAAATTCAAAACAATGTTTTAAAATAGGATATACTTACTATTTGCATAGAATTTACTTTGAATTAAGTATTATAAGTAATCTAGAGATGATTTAACATATATGGGAAAGTGTGCTTAGGTTACATGCAAATATTATGCCAATTTATATTAGGAACTTGAGCTTCCAATGATTTTGGTATTCTTGGGGTTCCCGGAAAAAATTCCCCATAGATACCAAGGGAGGACTTTAGAAATACTAAGTTGACTAGATCCTTAAGATTCCAAATATATAGAACTTATAACCTTTAACTTTATTACTGAGTAAATAATTAAAATTCATGGTAAACTCAGGAAAGCCACAAAATAGGAGGAGATAAACACCAATTGATGTTAAAGAGACAGTGAGATTCATTTTAGTGGAGTGAAGGGAAAAAGGCTTTCTTGAAATTGTAGTCTAAGAATTTGGTGAGATGAGTGTGATCTGGGTAATCAGATACTGGAAGGCAGAGAAAATAATTCAGAAGCATTAGGATAAATAAGGGCATCTTTGGAAGGACATTTATATCTTTTAATACATAAAATTATATGTATAAAAAGCCTACAATTTTCATATGATATGTTAAATCACTGTATAAAACATTCAATATTACTTTGAAAAGCTATAAGGTGTATAAGGTGTGGAGATCAATTCCTTCCATGTGTCTAAAATGAAAAGATTATGAAAAACAGTAGTGAGAAATAAAATTTTAGTATAAATTGAGATTATCTCTTGATTCAGAATTACATTTCTCATGAGTCCTTCTGATTTGTAATTTTGAAAACCAGTATTTAGTGATGAATTTGTTTCCCCCTAAAAGAAGAGACAGTGATTCACCTTGCCCTGGTATTTTTGGTGGACTAAGAACTCATCACAGGTGTATAAGTAAATATTGATTAATGTAAATGATAATGGTAATTTCAGTTCAAAGGAAGATTAAACTGAGAAAACCTGGCAGGTAAGGGTGATACATGCTGCAATTTGCTGGCATAGCTGAACAAGAACCTCGTAAAAAGAAAAAACCTGTTTATTAAACAAACAAGAAGTGTACGTTGTGGGTCTGATCATGTAAATGAACTGTTTTACTCAGATAGTGACATGCTGACGGTCAGCCAAGTGACAAGTGCAATTACGCTAGATGCTTTTTATAGATGTTTCAATACATTTTATACTGAAGGATTGAGTTGTGATTATTACTGCCTTATTTTGCAATTATTTAATCAATTTGACCTGGTGTCTCTTCAACCTTCAGTATTCAAAACAACATGTCAAATTCAAATGGTTGAAAATTCTGGCTGAACTATCTCTGTTTAAAAATTAGGAGACACTCTTTCTTATCATACCAATGGACTCTAAAGAAATTTGCCTCACTCAATAAAAAGTTGTACCCATATATTAAATATTCAACTTTTAATTTAAAGCTAGAGTTGGGAAGATTTTGGAGGTTTAATGCCAAGCTTATAATTCTCATTATCTGTTGCTTTATAATAAAGTACCCCAAGACCTAGTGGCTTAAATACCAGTTTATTATGATCTCTCAGGGATCTATAGATTGAATGGGCTTAGCTGGGCAATTCTTACTTGTAATTTCTCATGCAGCTGCAGTCAGATGGTGAACGTGGTTATCTGGAGGCTCAACCACTTTCAACATCCAAGAAGGCTCGTACATATGGCTGGCAACTGATCAAGTCAGAAAGGAGCTTGACTGGGGCTTTTAACCAACCATGTAATAACAATGCCTACATGTGGCCTCTCCATATGGCTTAGATTTCTCAAGGCAAGTGGTATGGTTCTGAGTCAGGATCCTCAAAATGAGCACCCCAAGAGGTGGAACACAGAAGCTACCAAGTCAACTAAGGGCCTGTATTAGTTTCCTAGGGCTGTTATAAAATGGGTCTACCATACACTAGGCGGCTTAAAGTGACATAATTTATTATTTCCAAGTTCTGAGACCAGAAATATAAAATCAAGGTATTGACAAAGCCATCCTCCCTGAAATGTGCTGTTCCATTCCACTTTCCTAGCTTCTGGAAGGTGTAGGCATTGGTAGACTCATCACTCCCATCCTTTATCATCACACAGTCTTCCCTCTGTATTATGTGTGTGTCTCTATGTCTTTTTTCCTCTTTTTAAGGACACAGTCATATTGGAGTAGGGCTCACCCAAATTAGCCCATTTTAACCTGATTATATCTACCAAGGCCTAATTTCCAAATAAGGTCACATTCTGAGGAACTAGAGATTAAGGCTTTAGAATATCACTTTTGGGAGACACAACTCATAACAGGAGTATAACTCACTTCACACATTATAATATGTGCTATATCCTATCGGTCAAAGCAATCTCAGGGCCTGTCCAGTCTCAAGGGGGTGAATCATAGAGTTTGCTTTCTAAGAGTGGATATGTAAGTCATACTGCAAAAGAGTTTAAGAGATGAGAAATATTGATGTGGACCTCTTTGGGAAATGCAGCCTATCATACTCTACCCTCCGTCCACAGTGATTCACTTTGTTTTTGATTTGCAAAACTCACTCACCCACTCCAAAGATCCAATGGCAATGTCATCTAAAGTAGCTCTTGGTATAGAGAAGGCTCCACAGACACAATTCTTTGAGGACATAACTTCTTGGTTACTTCTGATTTGGAGACCTCTGACCTAAAGGAAGACATTGTCTGCCCCTGACATGTTGATATGCAATGTTGAGACAGGGATAGGTAACCACAATGGCATTCTAGTTCAAAAAGTAGGGAATGTGAATTTTGGCCTCATCACTCATCTTTTTTATTAAAAAAATGACCTATGTTTTCAGCTAAGCATATTTTTTTTACCAACTTCCTTCTTGTAGGTTTGCAGCTACTAAAAATGATGGGGGTGGAGGAAACAATCCTAAAATGAGGTCCGAAATTAAACCTCTATAAGAAAAGTGAGAAATATTTTTGGTGGGCTTACTCAACATGCATTTGCAACTTCCTTTTGATTATTTTCTTCTATTATACAGGCTGAAAAGCTAAGTTTTCTCTCAGATTCTTTTGCAGCTAGGGCTCTCAGGGCGGGATTCTCACCAATGAGATGTAAACAGAAGTCTGCTGGTGCTTGATAGTCCCGCTCAATATCATTCTTTCAGTTTACATAATGATATGAGGGCTGATTTTCAGCAGCCATTCTGTGTCCATGATGGGAAGGTCAAGAGAATTTTAGAAACTTGGGCCCTGAAATTCAGCTTAAGCTGGTGGATTGAACTGATACTGAAGCTTTCTGTTGCCTAGGTCCTTTGAGCCATTATATGCACGTATGTCAGAACCACCCAGTGGAAGATAGAACAGCTACATCTCCAGACTTATTGTTACAGAGAAAAATAAAGAAGCCCTTACATGGGGATTTTTCTTACATGCAGAATAAATTTCTGTTATTTTAAACTAGCCAGTTCATGGAACTTTGCTACAACTACTCTTGGAAATTAATACAGCAACCAATCAAAAATTGCCAAGCATAGAAAGAACTACAAAAAATATGAAATGTAAATAAAAGTAAAATAAATCAATAAAGCTGATGACCCCCAAATAACTCACATAATAAAATTAGTAGACAAGGATAATAAAACATCTACTGTAAGTATACAATATATTGTTCCATAAATTAGAGGAAAGCATGTGTATGGTGAGAGATAGAGAAAATATAAAAAAGGACTACATTAAACTACTAGAGACATAAGTTACATTGTTTAAAATGAAGAATGCATTCAATGTAATTAACAATAAATTGTACACTACAGAAGAAATATTAGTGAGCTTGAATATATAGTAGTAAAAATTATCCAAAATAAAATAGAGAGAGAAGAGTAAAGAAAAAAAATGAACAGAGCATCATTGTTTTGTAAATAAAACTAAGTAGCTATGTAAGTAATTAGAGTCCCATAATAGAGGAGAGGGTAAGACAGGAAACATAATTTTCAAGTCTTTTAATGCAAGTTATAAACCTACAGATCTAAAAGTTTCAATGAACTTGAAACAGAAGACATGGAAAAACTACATCAAGGTACATCATAATCAAATTGCTTAAAATTAGTGATAAAAAATTAAATCATCCAGAGAAATAAGATACATACAGAAGATCAAAGGTAGCAATGATTGCAAAAATCTTACTGAAAGCAATACAAGCCAGAAAGCTGTGCAATGACATCTTTAAAGTATTCACAAAAACAATCAACAAAAAACAAAACAAAACATTGTTAACCGAAAATTCTATGCCCAGCAATAACATTTTTCAAGCCCATTTTTTGGATATACAAAAGGCTTTAAGTATCAGATATCCTTTCTCTACTCTGCCTTCATTTATTACATTCCAGTAAAGATGGCTTATTTCTCATATCTCCAGCATAGTTAAATTCATTCTTAACTGGGAAACTTTATACTTGCTTTCTGTTTCCCTAAAATGTTCCTTTCTCAGACTTTCACGGCCTATCTTCTATCATTAACAGGTCTAAGCTGGAGCCTTCTTTGACCTTAGCTATAATTAAAAAATCAGAACTAATTTAACAGCAAGTTTATGGAGCTTTATACAAAGAATATGTGAACATTCTTTCCAAATACACAAGAAAGGAGTTACAATTTTTATTACCCTCAAAAAACATATGAATTATCAATTTACACGTATTTTGAGGGTAATAAAAATTTATGGTAGATTATGTATTTATGGTAGGTTACCCAATAGCAATAAAAGAAACTTACTTTGCTGAAAGATAAGTAAACTGACAGGATTTGCTGATGGTTGTGTGAAAATAGGAAAACTTAAGAATGACCCCAGGTTTTTTTGACTAACTAGGAGAATAAATTGTCATGGAAATAGGGAAAACTATGAGAGAAATGTTTTAGGGGAAGAAATCATGAGTATATTTTGACCTATAAAGCTTGCGATATCTGTAAGATATCCAGGTAGTGATATCAAGTAAGCAGTTAGATATAAAAATCTGGATGTCAAAAGCAAAGTAAAATCTAGAGATATAAATGTGTGAGTTATGAGTATATATATGATATTGAAAGTCATGTGATTTGTTTATACAACTTACACAGTAGGTATAAATAAAGAGATGTCTAAAAACTAAACTCTTGGTTTCTGTAACATTTAATGATTAAGCGGATGAAAATAAACCAGCAAAAGAGACGAAAAAAGAGAGACACATAATTTCCTCCACCCCACAAAGAACAAGAGACACTAATGTCCTGATCCTTAAGTAAAGAAAATGTTTCAAGGAGGAAATACAAAAATGTATCAAATAACACCAATAATTTGGAAAAGATAAGAGCTGATAGTTGCTTATTGATTTCATCATATTGGTAATGTGTACGAGAGTAGTTCTAAGAAATAGTAAGGATGCACTGCTTACTATTGATGTGGACTTGAGAGAATTGGCAGAAAGGAAGTGAAGACAATCACTCTATATTCTTTTTTTCCTTTTTTTTTTTTTTGAGATGGAGTCTCACACTGTTGCCCAGGCTGGAGTGCAGTGGCGCGATCTCGGCTCACTGCAACCTCTACATCCCAGGTTAAAGCAATTCTCCTGCCTCAGCCTCCCGAGTAGCTGAGATTACAGGCACCCACCACCATGCCTGGCTAATTTTTTGTACTTTTAGTAGAGACGGGATTTCACTCTGTTGGCCGGGCTGGTCTCGAACGCCTGACCTCGTGATCCACCAGTCTCAGCCTCCCAAAGTGCTGGGATTACAGGCATGAGCCACATATTCTAAAACAGAACAACATATGCAAAATGCAAAATCTATCTGGAAATTAAAAATATGTAAATAAATAAATAAAAGGAAGCACTCATAAAAACTCTAAGAGTAAAAAGAGAAAACAAAACAATATGTAGAGTGTTCTAGACTATTAGAATAACCAGTATAAAAGACACATATTTGTCCAATGGTACTCATATAGGCTTTATACATACGGTAGAAAATGCAACAATATAAATTATTAGTCATAGTGTGTTCAGCAGAAAGCTAAAGAAAACCCAACTAATATTGGCTTGAATAAGTAAGATGTTTATAATCCCAGCCAATACATTGTCAAGATCAAGCCACCCAGTGCTTTTTGTTATTGCTCAGGGTTGTCATCAATATACTTAAGCTCTTCTTCTTTATCCCCTTTGCTATCCTCAGTATTCTCTAGATCCATGTGTGTGATACCTCCAATCATAAGATCTGTGTCTATGGTGGGAAGAATGGAGAAGGCCATGAGCAAGGTGCTGAAAATACATGGTCTCCACCGCCAGAAGTATCTCTAGGTGCAAGGCAGTTGAAGTTGAGTACTTTATAACAACTATAGTAGAGGAAGGCAAGGGAAAAGAGAGTATGAATAGCTTGTGAGTAACTAATTAAGAGTTTTGTATACACAAAACAAATAAAGCAAGCATTTAAGTCAAGGGGAAACAAATCAAAATAAAGTAAGAAGAGTACACTAAATGAAGAACAAAAGAAGAAGAATGGGATAATAAAAAAAGTGTAAAGAACATAAAATTAAGAATTGTTATTTAAAATAAATTATTAATATTAAATAGCAGCCTTACCAGAGCCCTGCCAAATTTAAAATAAGAGATTAATAATAATAATTTAAATATGAAAACATATCAATTCAAATTTAAAACAAATTGATACATGCTAGAGAGTTTAATGTGCAATTTCAAATATTTGCAATTTTTAAAGTCGAGTTGAGATGGATAATTTCTCAAGAAAATTTTTATGATGAAAATGGACACAAGGAAAGATTAAAATCCTGATAGGCTGTTAGCCATGGGGAGGGATATAAAAAAGATAGTCAAATATTTACCTCTCCAGAGACACTAAGCACATATGGTTTTATTTTTCAATTTATAAAATATTAAGAAAATGAGTATTTCTCTTATTTAAATTTTCTCAAAGCAAAGAAAATCATGAAAAACTTCAAATTTCCTGATTTAGGCCCAATTTCAAAACAAAATTGGAAAAAACAACCCTGTATCACTTATATATAGATTAAAACATTATTACATATTAGTAAACTGATTACATGGCCATATTTACAAATAACACACTCCAATCAGGTAAAGTTTATTTTTGAATCATGATGCAGGCTCAAAATTGGAAATCTCTTAATGCAACTTACACTATTGATATGTTAAATATTAAAAAAAGAATCTCAATGAGGGAATATAATATTTTAGAGTTAGGAAAACTAAGATGTATAGCGGTTAAGAAACATATTCAAAATAACAGAGATTATATATGGCACACCTGAGATTTAATTGCAGGTCTTTCTGACTTTGAAAACCTTTTTTTAAATTAGATATTTAATTGTTACCAGGTATTAGACAGTCCTGAGTAAATCACAAGTTGCCTTAATAAAACATTTTAAATGGTTCAGTCATTTTGAGTGTGACAGAAAATCTGGATAAGAGCCTTTCTTTCTTATTAAGAAGTCAATTTTCTTCCCAGAAAACCAGCAGCAAGTATGCCTTTATGTCTCATTGACCATAACTGGGCCCAGTAGACCTCTCTTGTTGCTGAGGAGGGTGCATGGCTTTTGAAGATTCTCTGTGGAAGATTGCTAAGAAACAAGGGTTTGGGCATTGCTGTTAGGAAGAGAAACGTCTACAACAATGACATTATTTCTTTGACGGCTGTCAAATGATAACTTCAGCACCCTCCCTCCTTAAGGCAATCAGTGAAGCACAGTACAAGGTGAGAGAGAGAAGGGACATACTTGATTCTTAGGCAATGAGTCCACTCACTTTCAGTCATTTGTCGATTCTGAATTATTTCCATGATACATCAACCTACTTAGTGTAGTCATGGATGCCCATATGAACTGCTAGTTTGGCAAATGTATAAGAATAATTCGTTTTACAATGTAATCATTTATCAGAGAGCCAATGACAGTTTTATTGAATTAGATACACAAAATAGTTTATAGTCAGAGGACACTGGAGGACAAATCACTAGTAGTGGTAATTCCTCCTGCGTGATGTGCCTCACACATCAGGAAATAAAATAATGTGAATATGGGAACAGCTAAGGCAATGTATGAGTGTTCCAACATCATTGAAGGCAACTTTTCTTTGCTTTACTCTAGAATGTCACACACTTAAAATAATGTATTATGAATATGTGACATGAAAGTAATATCCTGTGCTACAGGACCCAATCTATGCTCCTTAAGAAGCTGATCTTTGTACTATATGACGACAGGTCAGTTTGGAAGGTGCTTTTAGTCAAGTCTGTGTCATCTACTCTCTTCCACCTAAGTGGACTTCAGATCAGCAGGGTCAACACAGCCCATTTCTGTCCCTTGTGCATCAGCCATATTTCAGTTTGCTGTGCTTTGCACTAAAAATAGCTTTAGTTCAGATCTGATTCTGACTTTATTTAACAGCTAAGAAACAATAAGAAATTTAGAATCTCCTATTCTTTAACTCGATCTTCAAGTGTTTATTCTCAATTGGTCAAGCAATGTTGACTTAAGGAACTCCTACTAAATGTGGAAATAAGGAAATCTCAGTTTCTTTCTTTAAGGGAGTGGAGGAAACAGAGGCATTAAGACCTGCTACACAGAGCTGAGCTGATGGTCAGAGGTTAGTGAGGGTAGTCAGAAGTTTCTTGCCTGTAGGTTAAATGGGATGAATTTTTCTTCTTGGAGTAATTTTATACCAAGTCAATTTGTCAATGTGGGTCAGTTAAGTGGGCTGATAGAGTGGCAATAATTCCAAGGTAGAATGTGCAGAGAAGATGAGGCTTTTGTCATATTTTTGACACTATTTTATTTCATTTTCTGTTCTTCTGCCATCCTTGAGCCTCGCAATCATTTTCTGCTTTCTGGGTGCTTCTCATTTATATTCTGAGGACATCGCTGGGTTGTACTTTTATGTAAGTTTTACTAACTGTGCTTTTGTCCTAGGAAAGTGGTGGATGTGTTGTGGTCATAAAGGATGTTAATCAGAAGGGTTGATTCCTTTGGTTAAACCTTCTCTCTCCTGCTTTATCATTTTTATTTCTCTGTTTGATTATTTCTATCAGCATACCAAAATTCTCGAGTAGCCTCCAATTTTGAAGACATGACAATATTGTGGCTCATCTCTCCCGACCCATGCATGCCATCTAACATGCCACCTCTACTCCCTTCCATTATGCCCTGATCAAGGTTCTAGATCAATCATTGGAGTCATTATCTTATCTTTTGTACCCTTTGCTGTTGACTCAAGCATTCTTGCAATCAATTTTCTACCCAACATTGATAGTTACTCTCTTACAAATCAATTACTCTTTTACAAATACCTTTCCCTGTATCTTAAAATAAAATCCAAATTCCTTTCACAGTAATCAAGACCTCATATGGGGCCAGGCATGGTGGCTCATACCTGCAATCCCAAGATTTTACGAGGCCAAGGTGAGTGGATGTCTTGAGCACAGGAGTTTGAGACCAGCCTTGGCAATATGGCAAAGCCCTGTCTCTACGAAAAAAAAAAAATACAAAAGAAAAAATTAGCTGGGAGTGGTGGCACACACCTGTAGTCCCAGCTTCTTGGGAGGCTGAGGCGGGAGGATTGATTGAGCCCAGGAGGTCAAGGATGCAGTGAGCTGTGATCATGCCACCTGTGCTCCAGCCTAGGCAACAGAATAAGACCCTGTCTTAGAAAATAATAATAATAATAATAATAATAATAATAATAACCACATATGGTTTGACCCTTGTCTCATTCTTCAAAGTTGTCTCAAGCATGCTGTCCCTACTTTCCTCCCCACTGAAGACATACATCTAACTCACTATGTTTCAACTGCACTCATTACTCATCTGCTCCTTGAGTATTTCAAGATACTCCTTATCTCAATTTATTGTTCTTTCTCCTTGAAATTGTTTCTTTCTCCGATTTTAAACAACTTAAAAATTTCCTCATATACCCATGCATCTCAGCTTAGCCATACCTCCAAAAAATAGGCTTCCTTCCCCCTAGCCAATTAGAATTGCAAACCAAAAACTCCCTCTCTCATTACAGTTAATTTCATTTTAACTCACTTAACACATGGAATTATTTTGTTTACTGGTTTCTAAGTTTATATTGGCTTCAGCTGCAGTCACAAAATACAGACACAGACAGATACACAAACCACAAATGTGGACCTAATAAGGTCAGACACCCAGTTTATTTGTTCAGGTCTGCATCACCTAAAACAAAACAAAACAAAAATGTATGGCACATATGAGATGCACAATACATATTGTTTTAGTGCTTCTTTCTTGAAATGTGGAATTGAATAAAAACAAGAAAGGTAATGTCAAAGGGCACTCAGGTAAATAATAAACACTAACATTTATTAAATTCTTATTAAGGGTCAAGCAATATTCTAAATACCACATACAGTGTGAGTTCCACTATCATTTCTATTTTGCAGGTGCTGAAGCAAAAGCAAAAGAGATCTATGTATGATATTGTTTGGATGTTTTTTCCTGAAAATATCAAGCTGAAATGTGGTCCCCAGTGTTGGAGATGGGGCTCACTGGGAGGTATTTGGGTCATAAGTGGCTTGGTGCCCTCCACAGAACAAGGAGTTCATGTGGGATCCGGTTATTAAAGAGATTGGGACCTCCCTCCTTTCTTTTGTTCCCCTTTTCACCATGTGACAGGCCTGCTGTCCTTTGCTGTCCACCATAAGTAAAAACTTCCTGAGGTCCTGACCAGAAGTAAATGTTGGTGCCATGCTTCCTGTACAGCCTGCAAAACTGTGAGCTAAGTAAACTCTTTTCTTTATAAATTACCCATTCTCAGGTATTCCTTTATAGCAGCACACAATGGACTATACAATCTGTATCCTAAATCTTAAGTTACATTCCAATGCTCTCTTTTTGGTGGCTTCACAGTGGTTGTCTCAGAGGGAAAATACAATGACTTTCATTTTATAATTTGAGGACTCTGAACATGACTTATGGGGTTCAGCAGACACCATCATTGAGGATGGCGGGACAGTGGTCCACTGTCCAATCAGGAAGAGGCAATATATAAGGGTTAAAATAACAGATGAAGAAATTAACAAATATTAGTTACAGCAAAAATAATAATCTTGGCCAATTTTGGTGTTGCTAACTCAACTGTTTCAGTAGGTCATAAGAAAGGATGTCTAATGGTCATTAAATACTTAGGCAGATACTTGGGCAAAGACTGATTTTAGATGCAGAGGTAAAGAAGAAGAAAAGAAAATATTTTCTTGCACTTCAATGCAACCATTCCATTCCAGTTTTTTTCATTCAATTTCATTTTAATTTATTCCATTCATCTTGAGCTCAGCCCATTTCATCCTCTCCTATTTCATTCTACCCCATTCTGTTCTTCTTTCTTCATTCAACCATTACTGAATATTTTCTAAATATAAGGTTCTTTGTCTAATGTTGGGAGTAAAGGAAAAGGGTGAGGATTATAAAGGCAAACAACATGTAGGGCTTATCTTCAAGGGAGTTAAAATCTAGGAGGGGGATAATTCATGTGTAGAAATCAGAGAGCCCTGTATTCCAAATGTAGCTCTGTCAGGTAGTCCATCTCTTTGAAACTCAATTTCTTTTATTAGAAAATTTACAGACACATAACAAAATTTTATTTGTTGTTAGGTAACTAATTGTACTAATATATACAAGAAACATGACATAGTTACTGGAATATAAAATGTTAATTTTCCTCTAAACTAAACTAATACAGCAAAAAATAAACCATACTTTCTAGAATTTGTCAGAAATTGTTTTTCTTTTGAAAAAGGCTAATTTATTTAGTATAACTTCATGCCATTTTAAGCTTTTCACTAAATTAAATATAGTAAGGAATCTTCACTTTTTAGAATATCTGTGCTGATATTTCATTTGAAAAATCTGAGCGCCATAAACATGCCATGGACAGTAGATCCATGGAACAAATGGCTCAAACGCAAAAGAGAATTTAGAGGTTCCTTGGTTAATTGCCAATATTATATTTAATAAAAGCTCTGAGTTTCAGAGAGTAGAAATGAATTGCTAAAGATTTCACAGTGATTTAGTGATTAGTCCAGGTACTTCATTCTCTTAGTTGTACCTTGCCCATTGCTCTGTATTCCCTAACATTCTATTACAAATGACACATTAGTTAGTAAAACAATTTTTTACACTGATCATATCCTGGATAGCAATAAAGAATTCAAGAATTGTCTGCTAAATTCTTTTCTAAAAAAGTGAATTTCTTTCAACGTTTTACTTTTTTTCTTAATTCATTCACTTAACAATTATCTGTCAAAGCACCCATTTTATATCAATTTTTTCTAAGATCCTAGTTCCTGCTTTTGACACAGTAAGTTTAATAAGAACAATTACAATACCATTGCACCATGGTGGTGCAATTGCTTTAGAAATTAACCAAACACATAGACACAGACACACATACACACACAATCACACATGCACAACATACAAAGAAACACACACACTCTTTCAAAAAACTTCTGAGGAATTTATCCAGATTGTAAAACCAAACTTGGGGCTTGTAAAATGAATAGTAATGTATTAGTAATGGAATAGAACTACACACAATGTTATTAAAATGGAAATAAATGAACATACTTTTTACTGTAATATTAACATAAAGTCATTATGAAGCATTTGGATAATACTGAAAAACTAAAAGGAACAAAACAAACCATCTATAGACTCACTCCCAACGAGAAAACACTCAAAGCTCATTAATTTTTTGACATACGTTGTGCTTTTTGAGGGATGGTTCAGATAATAGTGCATTCCATACCATAAACTGCAATAAAATATAAGTATATAGTTGAAACATTTACTGTAAGCTCTATTAACTGTGTTCCATTATCTAGATGCTCTATTATTTATTTTGCTATGTCCTTAATAAAATCTATTTTCCACTTTTAATTACAATTTTTAACTTTCACTCCTACACTTAAAAATTCACTCAAGGTATAGCTCAGTATTAGGACACTAGCTGTTGATTTTATGGTTAATGGATGTAGAAGAGATAACAGGGAAACTGCCAGAAATTGTATGAAGTCTGATACCTAAAGTAATTAGACACTTATTCATAAGCAAAGTCTTTCCAGTGTCTAGGATCTATCTTTACTTTGGGCAGGAGATTTTTACAAGGCTCCAGTGAAACAATATTAGCAACTGCATCATGATTACTGACTGGTCATCTTTTTTTTTTTTTTTTCCTCTATGTTTTCGTGCTCAAAACCTTGCTGTAGTAAGTTGTAGAATTCTCCATTTCCCCTCAGACACAGAAAAGTTCTGCCTTATTCTAGCCAGACTCCCTTTAGGAATGTTGGTCAAATTTCATTATGCCAACAGCCTCTTGGCCTCAACTTTTAATTATTCTTTGACTTACCAATTTATTCATGCATGATCTATCCATTTACACAATCTTGAGAATAGTGAGGCTTTGAGAACTTTGTTCACCTATGTTTTGTTGTCCAAATAGCACTTAATTTGGTCTTTATTTCATTGATCTATCTCAGATATGTTGTGATTACCCAAAAGGTTAACAAGGGGTAAGCATTTGGACTATTGATTTATTATAGCAAGTTTTCTAATATTTTATTTTTCCTTAATTTGTAAAAATTAGTTCACAGTTTTGACATTGACATATTCTAAACATATTATAGCTTGGCTTTTTAAAACAAAAGTTGAGTCAGAGTTACAACAAATTATTTTAACTGTTATCTTTGTAAACTGATTAATATTTTTAATAAGCAGTGAGACTGATGCAAAAGTAATTGCGGTTTTTGCATTGTTGAAATTTGCTGTTTGATACTGGCATACATTCTTAAATAAATGTTGTTATGTTATACATCATTTTAATGCACATTTCTCACTTTATGCTTTTTTGCTAAATTATTACTTGCTCTTTATTTTATGTTTATTTAAGACTATGGAAATGATGTTAGACAAAAAGCAAATTACAGCCAATTTTCTTATTCAAGTTAAAAATGGGTCATAAAGCAGCGGAGACAGCTCACAACATTAACAACACATTTGGCCCAGGAACTGCTAACGAACGTATGGCGGAGTAGTGGTTCAAGAAGTTTTGCAAAGGAGACAAGAGCCTTGAAGATGAGGAGCATAGGGGCTGGCCATTGGAAGGTGACAATGACCAACTGAGAGCAATCATCAGAACTGATCCTCTTACAACTACACGAGAAGTTGCCGAAGAACTCATTGTCGACCTTTCTATGATTGTTCACCATTTGAAGCAAATCGGAAAGGTGAAAAAACTCGGTAAGTGGGTACCTCATGAGCTGAGCGACAATGAAAAAAAGAATCATTTTGAAGTGTCCTCTTCTTCTACACAACAATGAACTGTTTCTCTAATAAACTGATGTGTGACAGAAAAAGGATTTTGTATGATAACCGGTGATGATCAGCTCGGTGGTTGGACTGAGAAGAAGCTGCAAAGCACTTCCCAAAGACAAACTTGCACCACATAATGGTTATGGTCCGTTGTTTGGTGGTCTGCTGCCGGTCTGATCCACTATAGCTTTCTGAATCCCGGTGCAACCATTACATGTGATAAGTGTGCTCAGTAAATCGATGAGATACAGTGAAAACTGCATCGCCTGCAGCCAGCATTGGTCAACAGAAAGGACTCAATTCTCCACGACAACGCCAGATGGCAAGTCACACAACCAATGTTTCAAAAGTTGAACGAATTGGGCAACAAAGTTTTGCCTCGTCTGCCATATTCATCTGACTTCTTGCCAACTGACTACCACTTCTTCAAGCATCTGGACAACATTTTGCAGGGAAAACACTTCCACAACCAGAAGGATGCAGAAAACACTTTCCAAGAGTTCACCAAATCCTGAAACGTGAATTTTTACACCACAGGCATAAACAAACTTATTTCTCATTGGCAAAAATGTGCTGATTGTAACGGTTCCTATTTTGATTAATAAAGATATGTTTGAGCCTAGGTATAATGATTTAAAACTTGTGGTCCAAAACTGAAATTACATTGGACAGCAACCTTTATTTCTTTTTAGAGGTGCTGGAATTGACGTTATCTAAGGTGAATTTCTGGACACAATTTAGCCATCCCAAAACATCACCCAAATGCAACACTTAGCTGAAACAAAATGACAGTTTTCTAGCCTGAGGCCAGGCACAGTGGCTCATGCCTGTAATCCCAGCATTTTGGGCGGCCAAGGCGGGCAGATCACATGAGGTCAGGAGTTCGAGACCAGTCTGGCCAACAAGGAGAAACACCGTCCCTTGTGAAAATACAAGAATTAACTGGGCATGGTAGCACATGCCTGTAATCCCAGCTACTCAGGAGGCTGAGGTAAGACAATCACTTGAACCTGGGAAGCAGAGGTTGCATTGAGCCGAGATCATGCCTCTGTACGCTAGCCTGGGCGACAGAGCAAGACTCTGTTTCAAAGGAAACAAAAAAAGAAGTAATTATTTCTTGAATATAAATTCAAGAATGTGAATATAGATAAATGAAAATGATAATTTTTAGGGGTAAACTATTTTGTAGATTATATAATTAATGTACTATATTCTTTTATATAATATAATATTTCATTTATATATTACATAATTCATTAATAATATTGTCTTTATTATATTAAATCTAGTGAATGGCATACAATTTTAGTATTGATTGAAAGTCTTTTTCCAATTTTCTGTTTCACCAGGAAGAATGAGGCATGGGTTGTTCATGTGTCAGCTTCCCTTTTACGTCATTTAGCAAATATTTGCTAACGCAATTTCCTAGAAACTGTTGAGCACTGGGAATAGTAGTGAATAGGGAAAACATGGCTCTTGTCATCATAGTATGATGACTATGCAGATATTATACAGATGATTGATTACTAAGATTTGAGGGAGGAGCCTGCCTGTATCTCAGCTTGCTTTCAGACTTCTGGATTGTATATTTATCTTATTTTATATGGCATCCTGTAAAATTAATTTTTTTCTTCTGCATTTTTTTCTTTTTGAATAAAATAGAGAAAACAATAATGAACTAATGGTCTTTATATGAAATACATAAAATTATAAAAATCACAAATGGAATATTCAATATTAAGATATAAAATTTATAATCTCCAGAGATAATATTCAGGAATATTCAGATTTACCAGACATAAATGACCTATAGTGACACAAACGGTTATTAAGACTTAAAAAAACTCACAACTTTTTGCAATTAACTCATTCATAAAAATAAGAACTCCAATATTTTCCTTTAAGATTTGAGAAGCACTTTAGGAGGCCGAAGCAGGTGGATCATCTGAGGTCAGGAGTTTAAGACCAGCATGGCCAACATGGTGAAACCGCATCTCCACTAAAAATACAAAAAATTAGCCAAGAGTGGTGGCAGGACCTATAATCCCAGCTATTAGGGAGGCTGAGGCAGGAGAATCACTTGAACCCAGGAGGCGGAGGATGCAATGAGCCAATATTGCACCACTGCACTCCAGTCTGGGCAACAAGAGTGAAACTTTGTCTCAAAAAAAAAAATTGAGTTGAGAAGCAGTGCACTACTATGCAAACTGACTCAGAGGAAATGCCAGACAGGGTAGGTCTGAGACAGGTGATAATTTTTCTGTTTGAACTCTTTATTTTTGCTTTCTAGGCTCTGCCAAAAGCTTAATTTATTCATGAATTATCACTAAAAACAATAAATAGTTAATATATGGGCACCTGCTAAACACAGAAAAATACCAAGGGAAAATAAACATATCACTTGTAAACTTTTTACCCAATGCTATTATATATGCATATACTTATGTATGATACACTGCAGGGTGACCTACAATAAATTACACTTTAATGTAATCCCCTACCTTTGAGTGTGGGAAGAACCTTTGAGTTCCCTCTACTCAACAGACTATGGTAAAAATAATGAGATAGTTACTGTCATTACTTCACCTCATGTTAAAATCTGCCTTAAGCGACATAAAAGAGAGAGACAGAGACAGAGAGAGAGGAGAGAGACAGTGAGGAAGGGAGGGAGAGAGAGAGAGAGAAAGGGAGACAGAGAGAAGGAAAGAGAGAAGAGGAGAGAAAGAGAGAAGGGGAGAGAGAAAAGGAGGGAGGGAGGGAGAGAGAGACACAGAGAGAGAGAGAGAGAAAGAGGAAAGGAGAGGGAGGAGAGAGAGAGAGAGAGACTCTGTTACTGGCCTTGAAGAAGAAACAGCCATATTATAAACTGCCTATGGAAAGGGCCACATGGCAGGGAATTGCAAGGAATCTTCTAGCATCTGAGGACTTCAGTCCAAAAACTGAGGACTCCGAGCTGCAGAAAAGAGGACAGGATGGCCAGCACTTTGATGGTAGCCTGCAAGGCCCTGAGCCAGGGACTCACACACATTCATGTAATATGTAGTGTACGTTTTAGTATAATATGTACAAACGTAGCCATAAACATTATATAATATATAAGACAACTAAAATAATGCGTCACTATATTTACTTATTCATTTATTTATTCATATACAAAGGTGCAAATGACAACAAAAACAAGCCCCAGGGGGATCAATTTTCAGAGATGCCACAGTATCTTATCTAAAATGTTCATTCTTTGACAAAATAAGTTATGAGACATATAAAAAAACCAAGAATGTGTGATCCATGGGCAGGAAAAAACTGCCTGTGAGAAGGTGCAGATGTCAAAATTAAACAAACAAAAATGTCAAAGAACCTAACAAGACTTCAAGGATTAATGGAGATCATACAATCTGAAGAACAAAGAACAAAGGGAAAAAAGAATAAAGAAAAATAAATAGAGGTTCAGTAAAATGTGAAATGACATCAACTATATATAAAATATATAATATATTATATATATTATATATAATATACATTATATATAAAACATATTTTATATATAATATATAATATATATAATATACTATATATAATATAATATATTATATATAAACATATATAATATATAAATATATATAATTATATAATATATTTTATATATTATATATTATATATATTTATTTTATGTAAAAATATATACAATATATATTTATATATTATATTATATATTTTATATATTTATTTAATATATTTAATATATATATTATATAATATATATATACTAGCAGTACCAGAAGAAGCATAAACAGATAAATGGGTGAAATAAAATTGAAGAATCAGTGGCAGAAAAATTATCAACTTTGATTAAAATATTAATTTATAAAGACAACAAGTGCTCAATGAACTCCAAGTAAGATAAACAGATAAACACAGAGATATCCACACCAGGACACATCATAGTAAAAATGTTGAAGGACAAGGACAAAGAGAACACAATCAGCCCTCCACGTCTATGGGGGGTTTGTTTCCAAGACCCCTCCATACATACCAAAATTTGCAGATGCTCAAGTCTATCACATAAAATGGCATAGTATTTGCATATAACCTATGCACATCCTCCTGTCTACTTTAATCTCTAAATTACTTATAATGCCTAGTATAATATAAATGCTAAGTAAAGAGTTGTTATACTATATTACTTTTTATTGGTATTTTTGTTGTATTGTTATTTTAAAAATATTTTTGACCTGCAGTTAGTTGAATCCATGAATGTGGAACCACTGGATATGGGAGGCTAACTGTATTTTAAAAGCAGGAACACAAGATCAACTCATCACATATAAGTGATCACACACAAGTGAAAATTAACAGCTGCCTTCTCTTTAGAAGCAATATAGGTCAGAATACAGTGTGATGCCATCTTCAAAGTGTTGAAAGAATAAATAACTATCAACAAAAGATAGTATATTTAACAAAACTTTTTTATAAAAAAATTAAAAAATACATTCCTAGAAAAACAAAAACTGAGAGAACTTTTTCTAGCAGATTTGCATTACAAAAAAAAAAAGGAAAGAAAGATTTTCACTAAAGTAAAATGACCCCATAAAATAATCAGAATCCATACAATAAGGGGAACTGGGAAATATAATTATATATTTCTAAAGGAAAGCATAAATATGTATTACTTTTCTCTCTTTCTTTTATCTGATTTAAAAAGAAATTTATCTATAACGTAAACATGTCATGTATTTGTCATTAACAGCACAAAATAGGAAGATGAGAGTAAAGCTATATTTATTAAGCAAATGCTACCAGAGACTTTGAGAATGCACAGAAATAAATGAAGACAATGTTTATGGCTGCTGGCTGATGGAGGTAGTGGTTGATAGAGGTTGGGGTAATTGTGGCAATTCTTAGGATAGGACAACGAAGAAGTTTGCTGCATTGATTGACTCC
Organism: Homo sapiens; assembly: GCF_000001405.40. Classification (NCBI taxonomy): domain Eukaryota; kingdom Metazoa; phylum Chordata; class Mammalia; order Primates; family Hominidae; genus Homo; species Homo sapiens. The sequence goes on along the minus strand of NC_000002.12, from coordinate 83,662,612 downwards.
TCCTTTCATGAAAGATTTCTCCATAGCATGTGATGCCGTTTGATAGCCTTTTACTCAGAGTAGAACTTGTATCAAAACAAGAGTCAATTGCACTATGTATATAAAATGTACCTATCTTAATTTTAAATATTTTATTGCTAAAAATTTCCAATGATCATCTCAGCTGGTGGAAAGTATTGCCTCGATGTTGATGGCTGCTGACTGATCAAGGAATGGTTGCTAAATGTTGAGGGGGCTGTAGCAGTTTTTAGGATAAACCAAAAACAAAGTTTGCTGCATTGATTGACTCACCCTTTCATGAAAGATTTCTCCGTAGCGTGTGATGCCATTTGATAGCCTTTTACCCAGAGTCGAACTTCTTTCAAAACAAGGGTCAGTTCTCTCAAGCCCTCCAACTGCTTTAACAGGTAAGTTCATGTAATATTCTAATTCTCTCATTGTCATTCCAAGAATGTTCACAACACTGTCACCAGGAGTAGACTCTACCCAATAAACCACTTTCTGTGCTTATCCATAAGATGCAGCTTGTCCATTAAAGTTTGCCCAGAGACTGCAGCAATTCAGTCACATCTTCAAGACTCTTTTCTAATTCTAGCTCTTTTGCTATTTCCACCACATCTGTAGTTAATTCTTCCACGGAAGTCTTGAAACCCTCAGTCATCCATGAGAACTGGAATCAACTTCTTCCAAACCCCCATTAATGTTGATATTTTACCTCCTCCCATGAATCATAAATATTCTTAATGGCAGCTATAACCATGAATCCATTCCAGAGGTTTTCAATCTACTCTGCTCAGATCCATCAGAGGAATCACCATTTGTGGAAGCTATAGCCTGATGAAATGTGTTTCTAAAATAATGAAACTTGAAAGTCAGAATTTTAATGGACAAGAAGTTGTGCCTTATGGATAACCAAAGAAAGTGGTTTATTGGGATATGGTCTGCTCCTGGTGAAGGTGCTGTGAACATTCTTGAAACGATAACAAGAAAATTAGAATATTACATAAAATTACTTGTTAAAGCAGTTGGAGGGCTTGAGAGAATTGACCCTTGTTTTGAAAGAAGTTCTACTCTGGGTAAAAGGCTATCAAATGGCATCACACGCTACGGAGAAATCTTTCATGAAAGGGAGAGTCAATCAATGCAGCAAACTTTGTTTTTGGCTTATCCTAAAAACTGCTACAGCCCCCTCAACCTTTAGCAACCACTCCTTGATCAGTCAGCAGCCATCAACATTGAGGCAATACTTTCCACCAGCAGAGATGATCACTGGAAATTTTTAGCAATAAAATATTTGAAAATTAAGATAGGTACATTTTATATACATAGTACAATTACACATTTAATGAACTACAGTATAGTGTAAATACAACTTTTGTATACGGTGTTAAACCAAATAATTTTTGTGACTCTATTATAATATTCACTTTATTACAATTGTCTGAAATCAAACCCACAATATCTAACTGTATTTTTCTACCCATTAATCAACTTCTCTACAACCTCTCCTCCCTGCTAACCTTTACAGTCTCTGATACCCATCATTGTATACTCTATCTCCATGAGATCATAGTAAATGACGAACAACTAAAAGCTTTCACTCTGGGATCATGCACAAACCAACCATATCCACTCTTGCCATTTCCACTCAATATTATACTAACGGTTCTGGACAGGGCAATTAGGCAAGAAAATAAATAAAATGTATAGACTGAAAAGGCTGAAGTAAAATGTCTATTTGCAGATGGCATGACATTGAATATAGAAAATCCTAAGAAATCTACTAGACAATAGATATTTTCAGCAAGGTTTTAGGATACAAGATCAATGAACTAAAATAACTTATTTCTATACACTGACAATAAAATATTCAAAAATAAAATTAAAGACTTTTTATTTATAATAGTATCAAGATGAATAAAATAATTTGGAAAAAATTCTTAATAGAAGAGCAAAACATATACTCTAAAAACTATAAAATATTACTTCAAGAAATTAAAGACATGAATAAGTAGAAAGGTTTCCCATGTTCTTGTTCCAGAAAACTCAGTGTTTTTAAAGTGGCAATATTCCCCAAATTAATCCACAGATTCTATAAAATATGTATTCATACCATAGCTAGAGGTTTTTTTTTCCAGAAGTTGACAACCCTATTCTAAAATTAATATGGAAATGCAAGAGACTCAAAATAACTTTAAAAAATCTGCAAAAATAGCAGTTAGAAAGCTCACAATTTCCAATTTCAAATTTTACTACAAAGCTACCACAGGCCGGGCATGGTTGCTCACGCTTGTAATCTCAGTACTTTAGAGGCTGAGGTGGGCAGATCACTTGAGGTCAGGAGATCAAGACCAGCCTGGCCATCATGGTGAACCCCCATCTCTACTAAAAATACAAAAGTTAGCCAGGAGTGGTGGCAAGCGCCTGTAATCCCAGCTACTCAGGTGGCTGAGCCAGGAGAAAACAAAAACAAAGAAAAAGCTACCATAATCAAGACAATTTGCTCTGACCTAGAGATATATGTAGAGATTGATTGAATAGAATTCAATGTCTAGAAATAAGCCTGTACATTTAGGGTCAATTAGTTTTTACAGTGCTGTCACGACAATTCAATGGGGAAAGAATAGTCACTTCAACAAATGGTGCTGAGACAACTGGATATACATGTGAAAAATATATAAATAAGTAAATGTGAACTCCTTCCTCATGCCACGCTTAAAATTTAACTCGAAATGGATCATAAACCAAATTGTAACAGTTAATACTATAAAACTTTTAGAAAAAAATTCTATGAGAAAATCTTTGTCACCTTGGATTAGGCAACACGTTTTTTTGATATTACACCAAAAGCACATAAAGCAAAATAAAAATTACAGATCATCAAAACTGAAATGTTTTTGTCATTAAATGATAGCATCAAGAAAGTGAAATGTCAGTCCACAGAATGAAAGAATATATTTGCAAATCATATATCTGAAAATTGACCCATATATAGAATACATAAATATTCATACATTTCAATAATAAAGTGTATAAAAAGTAAAATGGGCATGGGATTTGAATAGACGTTTTGCTAAAAAAGATAAACAAATTGCTAATTAAAAATATTAAAATATGTTCAACATCATTAGTCATCACATGAGGGTGGCCATAATAAAAAAAAAACACAGATATAATAATAACAAGTGTTAACAAGGATGCAAATAAATTGGAACCCTCATACACTAGCAAGTGGGAATGTGAAGTGTGCAGCTGCTTTAGAAAGCAGTCTGGCCATTTCTCAAAAGGTTAATTATAGAGTTACCATGTTATATGACAATTCGACTCATCTGTATATACCAAATAAAAATAAAAATAAATATCCAGACAACATTTATACATAAATGTTCATCATGGCATTATTCATAATAGTTAAAAAGTGGAAACAATACACTTGTCTATTAAATGATTAATGGATAAACAAAATGAGGTCTAATTCTATGATCTAATATTATTTGACAGTAAAAAGGAATTAAGTACTGGTAATTAACATGAGTATATTATGAAAACATTGTGATAAATAAAATAGTCATAAAAGACTAAATAGCGTCTGTTTCCATTTATATGAAATGTCCATAATTGACATATATAGAGAGACAAAAATTTGATTAGTGGTTCCCTAGGCTTGGGGTTAAGGAGGAAAATGGGGACCAACTTGCAATGCGTATGGAGTTTCTTGGAGGGATGATGGAAATATTCTGTATTTAATTATTTTTATTGTTGCAGAACACTACAAATATATATATATATATATAAAACAATTCATTGTACCCTTAAAACACACACATACACACTGTAAAGCCTATTGATGTTATTGAAGAACAGTCTCTTTACTTCATTCCAGTAATCTAATTAGTTGTAACTGGGAATTTGCAAGGTCCTACTTAATCACTGAAGGCGATTTCACAAAATATGTGGCTTTCTCCTAATCTGTTCTTGCATTCTAACACATCTCTGGTGAGAGGATAGAACTCTTGGTGTATGAATTTATACAACTCCTTCAGTGATTCGGAATTTTTAATGGTAGTTTTAACTTATCAAAAAGAAGAGAAAATATTTTATAAAATCTATTTTCATTTTATTTCTACTAGAATATTTTTGCATATGATCAGAGAATGTTATCTTCCGTATTATATAATAATGGCATTATAAAATGTCTCTTTAAAAATAAAATGTACATATATAGTGATTTATGTTTAGATGTGGAAGTTTTGCTCTAACAAATAACAATAAAACTTTATATGAACTGAATGAAACATAATTATTTTCAAAGATTTAATTTCTTTGATTTCACCATGCACAATATAGGTGGACTTCATTTACATCTTTATGCAGCTGCATACAATTATTTTAACAAATATGATCCATTACTTTACATCAGTCTGTGCTGCATATCGTATCATAATAGTAAATCATCTGTTTTAATTCTTAACTATATGCAATTCTCAATATGCCTAAATTTCATTTATATCCCACCTTTATTTTTTAAAGGAAAATGTGTTGCATATTTTAAAAAGAACAAATGCAATTATTATCATAATGAGGGCATTCTCCTGTAAATATATAAAAATCCACAAAGCTTTTTCAACTTTTTTCAAATCTTTACTATTGTGGTCATTTAACACCAACTTTGAGATTCAGCTTGTCCAAACTTACAGTTCAATTATACCATGAGTAAAGATATTATAAGGGACCAATAGATCACTCATTAACTCATTTACTTATTTATTTTTAAATATGAAACATATAAATATTTATGTCATCCTTGCACAGGGGCCATGCTAATCTTTTCTGTATCGTTCCCATTTTAGTATATGTGTTGCCAAACTGGACCTTCACTTATTTTTATAGTAGAAGTATAGTTTGTATTTACTATATACAAAGTTATAAAGGAAATTAACATAAATGAATATTTTACTTAATGAAATATTTTAATTAGATCAATATGAAATTGTTACTTTTATACCAATTTTTATTTTTATTTGAGAAGTAAAAATTCTCAAATATTGTTAACATCATATGATCGAACTTAAATATATATGCAAATTGAAGACCCTTTAGAAAGTTAATATTTGACTTAGTGTTTACTGAATCCCACTTATGTGCTAATAGAGAGTTAAAGTGAAGGAAAAGAAGAATATTATGAGAACTACTCTAAAGCAGTCTAGAATTAAAGAAGAAATAGACATTTGGACACATTTTAAAATATGCTGTAAGTGATAACGTACAGGTATGTCTACAAAAAATATGGTAGTTGGAGATGTAGTCTAACTCAGTATTCTGGAAATATTTTCGATGAAAAAATAAGACTGGGAAAATTCATTTGTGTATATTGAACAATAATGTGTTATATTTGTTGTAATTCCGTTGAACAATTTAACAATTTTAGGTTAGGGTGATTTAAAAACCACAATAAGAAAATCACTTATGTATTAGCACTGTACCTTTATTTTAATCTCTGTTCCTTCAATATATAATACACATATGTACTTATAAAGATGCAACAATATTTAGTGTGATTTCCATATCAATTTTGTAAAAGAATGGGAACCATTCTTTTATACCATTGTTTATACATACCAGTATAAACACATAAATATCACATATAAATAAATACATGTACCTACATCATGCCACTTTTTATATATTAGTATGTTCTAATATTTCTTTGTAAATAAAATATTATAATGAGAAATAGAGGAATAAATTTATAAACATATACTTAACATTCAGTATGATCTAGACTTCATACTAATTTGCTTGTGTAATTTGGGAAAAATATTTGCCTTATCTAAACATTACCATTTTTAATTAAGAACACAGGAATACAGAATATGCCTTCGTGAAAATTAAATGAAATCATTGTATAAGTATTTTAAACTGAATAATTCTCATTTTACTTTTTAACAAAAATACAACTTTAACGTCCATGTAATAGCCCTTTATGTCTCAAAAGTATGATTCATATAATTATTCACTCTTTGGCATTTATGTTTTGAATAATTTAGTAATGGGCAAACATATTTATACACATGTACGCATTGTTCTTTGTAATCCACTTATCATAAATTCCTAGAAGCATTATTTGTGGGGCAAAAGTATTATTTGTGGGGCAAAACGTTCTTTAGGTAGAGATAGCCAAATTGCTTTATAGAAAGGTTGTAACAACACTTCCAATAGTAGTTTACCTAATTCATCATGAACTATTGCTAATAGTAGCTAGTTTTTAATTTTAATTTATATAGAGTTTATGAGTTTTCAGAGATATAATTTGCTTGCATTTTAATTTATTTGAATATTTCTTGTAGATGATTTTTGTGAATTATATTTCTTTTAAGAGTTGGATGTACATGTTTTCAATTATTTTTATGAGAGTATCTTCTTATTCCTTTTAAATAATGAATTGTCAGGCACCTATATATTAAAGCTTCTAGTACCTGGTTAGTAAAAAGTATTCAAAATAGTTTTTTTTTACTTTCACATATATATTTTAAACTTCTCTATGCTATATTTCACTTGCTGACATTGTAGCATTTTTATTCATTTTTATTCATTACTAAATATTATGAATCATAAAATTTCATCTTTATATTTCTAACTATTTTGTGGTTTCATTTTTAATATTTAACTTTCAAATTATAATGACGTTAATTTTGTTTTAAGTTATGAGGAGAAGCACCAATGTATCCTTTTTCCATTAATAGTTATCCAATTTTCTCAAAAAATATATTGTTATTTTGCATGAATATGGGATATCAGCTTGCGTTAAATTATATATAGTTTTACCTGTTACTATGTTCCTTCTTTTGTATTGATGTGCATGTTTATTTCATTGTGAAACTTGTTATTTTGCTTATAGTACTTTTATAATAGCATTTAACAGACAGTTGTTCCAATATGCAATCATTATTTTCTTGTGAAAATTATTTTTCCTGTTTTACCAGAATTTTTTGTTTCTTTCACTTTGCATTCATTTTGACAGGTTTTGAATCTTTATTTTCTGGTGTAGGGAGAGGGTAATAGAGGGCACTTTTTAACTCCATGCATCAATTTATTATTGGGATAAATGTATGCATTGATTTTATGAATATTAAAATCTTTACATCACTTAGTGCTCTCATTAAAGAATATATTATAGGTCTTCATTTATTTCACGTGATTTATTTTTACAGCATGCTTCAGGTTCATTGCACTAGTTGTTCCCTCTTTAGCACTGCCTTTCCCACAATTAACCCCTAATTATACTGGTGGGCTCCCATGCACTATATAGAGATAGCCAAATTGCTTTACAGAAGGGTTGCAGCAATTATAATTTCTTGTGTCAGTTCATGTAATCTATCAGGTTTATCTAATTCATTTCAGGTCTCTACTGAAATTTCCTCAGCTAAGCCAACTTTTCTTACCTCTTTCTGTCCCACGTCTTTAATAGCCCATCTTTTTCCTTTGTTCTATTTTTCTTCATAGCATTTATCACTGCTGAAGCTACATTTCCTATTTATTTTCTAATTTTCTCTACGATGGCATAACTCATTGGCATGGTCTTTGGTTTTTTTCAATGCTGAATCTTTAGAGTCCAGAGAAGTACTAAGAACATCATTAGTATTCATAATTAATCAATGGTCCTTAGTGAAAATTTGCATTTCATTTATATAAATCATGCAAATTTCTTCCATATATTAATTGTTGCTAATTTGATTTTTTGGAGCTAAGTAAATGGAATGTATCTGATTATTTTATTTCCTATGACCACCTTAAAAAATTGCTCATTCCTGAAAAATTGTAGAGATTTGGATGAATTCTCTGAAAATTTCTATAAAGCATGATATAGTTTATCACTGAAAATACAACCAGGATTTTTATAAATGTTGATATAGAGACTGAGACAGAAATAGATGTAGAGATGTATATTTTATACAAAGATAAATATATAGATATTCAAAGAACCAAGTCACCCCAGAATTGATTGAAACTATTAAAATTCATCACCACCACATATTTCTATATTTCAAATTGTTATGCAGTGGAACTCCCAAATGGATTGAAGGAACATAAATGCAGAATACTGATAAATGGCAGCACAGTGAGCAAAAAGAGGTGGCTGGCAGAGGAGCCCAGTGATGGCAGAGAGAAGCACTTTCATGTGACAGCATTATTAATGACTGAAAAGAATTTGTAAAGCATCTTAAGTGGCTGCTCAGATGATTTAAAAATCTGATGATGGAGGAAACTCATTACTGGGGAAACATTATATGTGATAATAGAGATTGTGTCATTGGTGAAGACCTCTCAGCTCTGTATTCACTGGGAATTTTGGCCAGAAAGTTCAAGACCTTATGTGTTTCTCCTATCCTATGATCTATAAGATTTGGAGCTGTTGATGAGTCATTGGGCTAGATGCATTTTAAGGTCTTTTCCAATCGAATACATGTAATTTTTGCAATATGAATTACATGTCATACATGCTAATAATTCTAAAGGAGAACAAAATAAAAAAGAAATCACTTTAGAATCCAGAAAATAAGACAGAAAATATATTTTTTTAACACTGAGACTATATTTTTCCTAAGAACCTAAGTTACTGACAACAAATTAAATCTTTAGAAATATAATACTTTAAGATGTCTCCTGGATTATTAAATATGTCCATCACTATGTATTAGTTATGCTAAGTCTAAAAATGAAATCAGTGTTTTAAGAACATCCCTGGGAATTTCCTACACTGCCTATTTGTACACAAAATTTTAGTGCATGTATGATTTTTTTTTTTTTAAGACAGAGTCTCTTTCTATTACCCAGTCTGGATTGCAGTGGCAAGATCATGGCTCACTGCAGCCTCAATCTCCTGAGGCCCAATCAATCCTCCCACCTCAGCCTCTCTAGTAGCTGGGATCACAGGTGCATAAGACCATGCCCAGATAATTTTTTAATTATTCCTTTTTGTAGAGACAGGGTTTTATCATGTTGCCCAGGTTGGTCTCGATCTCCTGGGCTCAAGCGAGGAGCTGGCCTCGTAAAGTGCTGGGATTACAGGAATGAGCCATCACCCCCAGGAGACATATTTTGATTTTTGTCAAAAAACCTATATTTAAACTTGACACAACTGAGTTTTATGGGATATAATCCAGAACTGAGAATTTTTAAATAGTCAAAATCTAGTTAAAATATCTCTTGTTTTTATTTCAATAATTATAATAATTATTATCATTTTTGTTATTTTAAAGTCAATTCAGTGCTCACATATGTGACTAGCCTTTTGAGGTTCTTGTCCATTTATCAGTTTGTCTAAGATCATTCATCTGCTTACACTGCTTTAACAACCATGAGCCAAAGAGAAGTTCAGTGTCTTGGCCACCACGTGAATAAAGCAAAGTGTGCGTTTGGTATATCCATCTCCTTTTTAGATTCTGTCTCTTCATTTTTTTCTATACTTAGTAGAAAGAGTTTGATGTTAAGAAAAATTGTCACCCAATTGGTTTATCTAATTACACATTGTTCAGTAGTTATATGTAAATTATTTTTATAAATGTAGTTTAATATGTTTGTGATCTGAAACCAATGCATATCTCAGGTAGAAAAGAGTAATTCAGAATTCTGAGTCTGATGGAGTCACAGCCTCAAAGACATTGAATGTAGCCTACGTTGCTGTGGTCCATACTTGATTTTTTTGCTAAGCATTAATCTAGCTTAGTTTTGAATAAGACAGATGTTTCATGAGACTGATTGAAAAGTTGGGCTGTGGGGTTGTACATATATATAAAATTTATATGTACATATAATGTATGTATATATATGTATATATATAATATGTACATATATAATATATATGTATATATATCTACATATAATATATGTATACAGTTGGCCTTCTATATTAATGGGCTCCATATCTGTGGATTCAACCAAGAGCAGATCAAAAATATTTTTTTTTATGTGTCTGGGCTGGGCAGAGTGGCTCACACCTGTAATCCCAGCACTTTGGAAGACCAAGGCAGGTGGATCGCTTGAGTTCAGGACTTTGAGACCAATCTGGGCAACATGGCAAAACCCTGTCTCTACAAAAAATACAAAAAATCAGACTGGTGTGGTGGCACACACCTGTAATCCCAGCTACCTGGGAGGATGAGATGGCAGAATCGCCTCAGCCTGGGAGGCAGAAGTTGCAGTCAGCAAAGATTGCGCCACCACACTCCAGCCTGGGTGACAGAGCAAAACACTGTCTCAAAAAAGAATTGTCTGTATTAGACATGTATAGACTACTTTTCTTGTCATGAATCCCTAAACAATACAGCAATACAGTATAATCACCATTCACTGGTATTTACATTGTATTAGATATTATTAGTAATGTAGAGATGATTTAGCATATATGGGAAGATGTGAGGATATGCACAGGTTATATAAAGATACTTTGCCATTTTACATCAGAGACTTGAGCATCCATAGATTTCAGTACCCAAAAGAGGCAGAGACTTGAGCATCTGTAGATTTTGGTATCCACAAGAGGTCTTGGAACTACTGCCCCATTGATACTGAAGGATGACTGTACATACCAATTTGTATCTCTCTCCCTCTCTATGTATCTTTCTTAAAACATTGCTCAGAGCAGTTTGCTTGCAGCATGCAACCGCAGAAGTTTCTTCTGTTCTGTTGGCGTGTGCCAATTAGGTAATCACTAGGCAGTTGTGTGGTCTTTCCACTGTCTATCTCTTTCCATTTTCTCTCTCTTGTGAACAGTAGTAAGAAGATAAAGAAGGAATAAAGAAAAATCTATTTAGGGTACCACACACAAGCCTACTGTGTATATATGTGTGTGTGTGTACATGCAAATGCCCTATGGACACGTGTAATTTATCAAAGATTTTCAGAGCTGTCTATGGTGTCTTTCCATTCCCAGTTCTGCATGTTTCAAAGGCTAATTAGCTTTTATCTGAGAAGTTCTCAGTCTATCTTTTAAAAACCACTATTCTCTAATAGAAAGCCCATTCCTTCTAACACCTATTGGAATATATGCTTGTAATTTTATATGAGAACTATTTTGATGGCCAAGGGAATGATATATTTTATTTACCACTGGGGAGTTCTTAATAGAACTGAGTAAGCTATTTAGTTTTCCGGTGTACTATGAGAGAAATCTGTCAATTTACTATACCAGTTTACCTTTCAGATCCCATATCATACTTCTGTTGCACTTAGAAAATTCAATGCTTGAATCTCAAGTGCTACAGATATTTGCCAAAGACACTATCTCTAGAATCCGATTTTTTGTATATTTTCAATGCTCCTGAACCTTACAATGCATCACTTTTCCTATGTACTCTATAATAATAGATTCTAGACATAATTGAATATTTAATTTACTTTTCACACATTTATGACATGTCTGCCTTTGCCAGAGCCTCCCCTAAGTGCAGGCAATAAAATGTTGACTCAGAGTGGCTGTGAATTTTGGCATAAATACATCTGTGAGTTCCCTAACCACACAAAGGGATATGGCAGTATTCCCAGCTTCGCAGAACTGTAAACCATATGAATTGATACTTAATGAGAATGTCTGCACTATATGAACCCATTAAAAAGCATAATATCATTCTCTCTACCACCCAGGACTTTTCAAAACCAGATTATGAGAGACTGTAAGCATTGTACTACCATCCTGTGGGACAACAGAACTGAGGTTAGGAAGTAGCGTCTTTGATACAGAAAATCAGTTCACAGGAATCAAACCTCTATCAGTATCTGAAGGATAGGAGAAAGAGGGTATCTTAGAATAGGGCTGGCAAGAGCAACAATGAATCTTACATTACTGGTAAATGAGTGTGGGCTCCAATGAGGCATTGACATCCTAAGCAGGAGACCGAGGCATTTGTACATTCATTTGAACTGGGCCAATAAGGCAGGAATGACTAGAAATAAACAACTTGATAAACGTAAGGTAAACAATACCTAAGCCCAGATATGGACAGAGCTGTGAGCACTCTTTTTTTTTTTTAACCAATAAATGAATTTCTTGCTTATTGCTGTGCATTAGGGAGGTAAGGTTGCTTCTTTAAATTATGCCTCTATTGGGAGACTAGAAACATAAATATGAAACTATAGAAGGTTGTATTCATTTCTCATGAAGGGCTATAATTCTCACAAGTCCAGCACATTCATACAAACCACTTGCTTAATTTAAATTGGGAAAAGTGACAGCATGATTCAGAAACTGACGTTGATCTCACAGGGTTGAAATGTGGCCAAATTCTGATTTATTAACAATATTGTAGAGATCTACGTAATATGTTGGCCTAACATACAAGATGCACCATAATTATTTATTAGCAAGCCCCATATTTGTTTTTACAGCAAGAGAAACTATCATAATTGCAGTCATGGGAAAGTATTTTAGACTCATTTTATTTTGAAAATTGTTTTGTTTTGTTTTTCTGAAGAATATTCAGTGTTCAAAATTTATAATAACCTCTGAATTGGTTCATGGTCAATTATAGTAAATAAAAACACGTGAGGTCAGAAAACAAGTAAAATTTTTCCAAGTATCACAGATTATAGAAGAGGAAGTCTTGATGGGAGAGTAATCAAAGCAGTCTCTTGCATCAGAATCACTTGAGAAACTGATTAAATCCAGCTCCTTGGTTCATCTTTGACCTACTAAATAAGAATATTTGAGAGTGGTACCTATAATTCTGTGATTTTAACAAACACATCTCTTAATTCCTTCACAATGTGCACTAAGGTTTGAACATTACAGTATTGGAATGAAGAGAAGAGGACCTGGAATTCTGGGGCTATTTCCTCTAGCTTATTGATCCAAACTCTCCAATCTTTTATTAACATGATGATCTATAAAAACTTGCACCCTAAAATATTTTTATTTAACTTTATTTAATAATTTTAAAAATTGCAAAATGTTGAAATATTAACATTGAAAAGCAGGCTGAGAAAACATAAATTTTGTTGAATTCATAACATTTAAGTGGTTTCCATTACTTCAGTTATTTCTAGAGCATCTCAATTTATCAATGTAAAAATTTAACTCTTAGCAAATAACAAGGTAAAAGAAATGAGGCTGAATTGCCTTTAGAATGAACTGGAGTTCCAACCAGGATTATAGATTTTTATTCACAATGTGTAGTATCACAGCAGTATTATTTCAAAATGCTTTAGGAAATGACAATATGGGGAATAAAATCGCTTAGAGATTAAACCTAGAATCTGACATAATGGTGCACTGGCTTAAATGCTCATGTTGAACAGAAATATTTTGATATCATGTAACTACTCAAAAGAAATTTCACTTGCCAAATAAAATGAAATAAAGATTTTTTTCAAAAATAAATACTAGGAACATTTGTGACTGGACCTTCAGAGCATGCTGGGAGAGCACAGAGAAACTTACAGAACTGTATTTTATGTCTTCCTTGAATGCACCAAGGAATATCATATACTAAGCAAAATATATCCCTTTCAAATACAATATATATGTGCCCTGTGCTTTCTGGTGTCTTGAAATCAAAGGAGATAAAGATCAGTAAAAATTAGAAGGAGAATATTGTGGCACATTTTGCTCAGGTATACATTGGAATAGCTAGGCAATTATTATTTTTATTCTAGATTTTTAAGAAATTTATAAAATTATCTTGGCATTTTGGCAAAATTTCTATAATCTTAAGTGTTTTTATTTTCTATTAAAATATGTGAAACAAAATAACTTATCATATAATTTTTAGGGTTCTGAGTTGGACAGGTGCTTTCTATTGTTTAGTTCATAAATATCAAAGTTGCTATTAATTTCAGGGGGCATACCTCTGTATTTCTAACCCATGGTCTTGTCATTCCTGTAAGCTGTGTTATGAATTTCTGAAACTGCATACATTTTTTCCTGCAGTATATGTCTGTCATATACTGCATTCTTATACTGCATGTCATATACTGCATGTCATATACTGCAAGTTATAACATTCTTAAGTGCCTTCATTGCCTCATCATCCTTGCAGTTAGCCCAACTCCAAACAATTATTTTATACTATTTTATACTATAATATATTACACTATTATATTTATATATAAAATATTATACTATTATATTTATACATAAAATAGTATATATTTCTACTATTTTATACTATACTATACTATTTTATATTATTATGCTATTTGTTCTATGGGGGAGTGGTGGCATAAATTTAATGTTCATGCTCTTTTCAATTAAAGAATTCCATATCTAAGATGTTACTAAGATCTTTTCCATTTAAAAAAATCTCAGTTAAAATACATTTTCTTGATATTTTATTTTCAACTTAAGCTAAATTTGGCTAAAGTGGTATCTCCCTATCCTGAATTGCTTTCTTAATTATTACATCTTTTACACAGTTAAGACATGACTGATGGAGTTTTGTTTACATTTCTTTTTATCTGACGTTTTCATGTTTGTTACTTTTGTTACCCAGAATGTAAGAAGCATGAAAGAAGGATCTCCATGTCAGACAAACAGTAGGTGCTAAATAAATGCTTGGTTAACAAACATTAACTGAATGCTTGTTATGTTTACTATTATACAACACATTCATTTCTTGTTCTCTCAAAAGTGACATACTTTGACGAAGACGTTGTTGTAGGAAGATCAGGGTTCTTGTTACACGACCAGGAAAGATTAGGCTAGCAGACACTTTGAAGGATTAGGGGTAGGATATATTGGGTGAAAAGGATTAAAAAGGGAAACAGGGACTCTCAGCAAAGTAAGAGTCCTGCTAGCAGGTGTCCCGCCTCACAGATTTAATACCCGGTTACCACCCAGGAACAGGAGAGGCCAGGCTTCTCCCCTGGCAAATGCAAACTTCTGTGGCTCCACCCCATTCTCCCAGTGCGCAGGCGGGATGGAGATTCTCTGGAGACCTTCCCCCTTTGTACTTGACTGGCTCAACACTATGAAAGCAGGTGAGGCCACGACAGGCTCATAATTTTGCACAACTTTAGACGGTCTTACTTGATGCTCATTTGTAAGAGTCTGAGCAATTACTAACCCTGCATACTTTTTCAAACTGAACTTCTTAAGAGAAGTTCTAGTAAAAGACAACATTTTACCCATCATCTTATATTTCCAGATGATTAAGTGTCCATGAGTTGGTGTTCTAGGCAACCATCTGGCTGCCTTGCACTGATTTAAAATTTGGCATAAAATTTACAATAGTTAAATCAATAAGGGTAAAGTGATATTAGAATTTAACTAATCTGTTGTCCAGAGGGCATTTCTTGGCTGCCAATGTATTCATTAATGGTGAATTTCATGGGGAGACCCTGTAATCATTTCAAAGAGGAACCCAAGTCATGAAGGGCAAGGGCCAAGCAAAGCTAATAATTCTCTAGATATCAAATACAAACTTAGAGACACAGGTCTCAGAAGAGCTCTAATGGATTTTGCTGCTCTGCCAGCTTGTACTGGTCTTGCCCCAGGTGCTACAGCTCCTGTCCCAAAAGCATTATAAAATGATCTTGTGGCCTTTGATACATCTTCAGAGAAAGAATATTTTCAGTAAATAATGAAGTGTCTCCCAGGTATCAGAGATTTAAAGGAAATCTACTAGTGCATGGAAAAACTCAGAACTCAAAGTGCATATCTTACTAATGTTATTTATGTATTAAAATGTACATTAAATTTTTGTCCATATCAATCACTGCACAAAGTGCTAGACAAATAAAAAGGATGCACAGTTCCTTCTCTTAAGAAGCTTATAGCTTAACTGGATGTCAGATAAGTCTCCAAAAATTGCATAGTCGTGTCATAAGTGCCATGATATAAGCCAGGAGAAGGACCTAGAAGAACATGTGAGAAAGAGAACCCAATTATAGGGAGAACACAATTTCTCCCCAATCACTCCCAGTATATCTGACATAAGCTGAATGAAAGAAATGCTAAGGAAATTGCTTTTTCATCGTTTATTTCTGAGATCAAAAAACTGACTATATTTTAAAATCTTTCTCATGAAAACAAAACCAAGAAAGCAAAATAGTAATTGAGAAGCCTTGTTTGGGCTCCCAGATTCCAGGATGGCTTATGATGTGAACAAGGTGTTTCTGCATCTTGAGAAAGTAATGTTTCCCTGGAGAAATTTCAGCATCTGGTGGGGCAGGGTAACCAAGAGAAGTCCAAAGACACAGGACCTTAAGCCCTGTTTCTACTTTAATCAGAGTGTTTTAATTTTGTCTATTATACAGAGGTCTCATGTAAAATTTCAACTAAAGAGAATTTGTGTGTGTGAAGTAAAAAAAAAAAGAAAAGAAAAGAAATTTCAGAAGCTCTAATGGAAACAAAGCAGAATACATTCTTACTGCTATAATTTTTTTCTTTTTATAAAATAAATTGTATTAGAGGTTTACAATATGGTGTTATGGGACACATAGACATAGTAAAGTCATTACTATATTAAAGCAGACTAATATATGTATCATCTCACATACCTTTTTGTGGCAAAATCAACTAAAATCTGCTTATTTAACAAAAATTCCTAATAAATACAACTTAATTAACTTTAATCCTCATATTGTACATTAGATCTCTAAACTTGTTTATCGTATCTGCTATTTTGTATCCTTTGACCTATGTCTATCCATTTCCTACCCACTTCATCCACAGTAATCAGTTTCAATCTCCATCTCTCTGTATTTATGCTTTTTAATAAATATTGCACACATAAGTGAGATCATGTAACATTTTAATATTTTTCTTTCTCTGGCTTATTTCACTTACCATAATATCCTCCAGATATATCCATATTGTGGCAAATAACAGAATCTCTTTTTCAAAGACTGAATAATACTTTCCTGGATTATAATTTTTTCTTCTTAAAATTTCCAAGTGTAAACTCCTTAGCCTGCAATTCGAGGCCCTGTATAACTTGGCTCCTGCCTGCCCTTTCTGAATCATCTCTCAAAAACTTAACTTCCATCAATCCATCAGTCTACACCTGTAGGAAATCATTATATTTCATTACTTTGTAGATGTATAGATAGTATAAATTTTCATATTTTAAAGCTTATCAAATATGTTAAAATAAATTCTGCTTTTGCAGTGCTGCTTAGAAGCGTAGACACAGTTTGGTGTTTATTTTAATCCACTCACACATTGTTCTGTTTTTCACATAAATTATATTTAAAATTGTTTGATTTGGGATGGAACAGTGGTATTTAATATTTTATATGCATCATGGTAGGTATCTTTCTATCCATAGGATTTAGAGGTTAGGGTTAGTTTTTGTCTCGAGTGCTAGTAAAATATATTACTGGCGAATCCAAATTCCTAAGGTCAGCATGCAGGGAAACTCTCTGCAATGAGACTTACTGTGCTAACGTAAAGGATGACATTATTATATTTTGGTTAACTGTTCAAGTCAATCAGTGCCTACACTTTGGATGTGGAACTATTCAAGTTATAATTCTATTTTTTCCTCTCTCAAAAGTATTCTGCTAGGCCAGGCATGGTGGCTCATGCCTGTAATCCCAGAACTTTGGGAGGCAAAGGCAGAAGAATTGCTTGAGCCCAGGAGTACAAGACCAGCCTGGGCAACATAGTGGTACCCTGTATCTACAAATTACTTTTTAAAATTAGCTGGACATGGTGAAAGGTGCCCATAATCCCAGCTACTCGGGAGGCTGAGGCAGGAGAATCACTTGAGCCCAGGAGATAGAGCCTGCAGTGAGCCGTGATCGCATTACTGTACTCCAGCATGGGTGACAGAGTAAGAACCCATCTCAAAAATAAAAAATTAAAAGTGTCCTTATAGCAGTACACATCTTTGTTATGTAGATTATGTATTTTAAATGAAAAAGTACAAAAGCTAAAAGAACACTTTCTTCAAATAGTTTAAAATAAAAAAAAAAGTCATTCCAAAAAATTCAAATAATAAAAATAGAATATGTTGGCATGTAATATTTGCTATTTTATCTTAGATGATTATGATATAATTGGAAGATTGATCAGGGTATGAATATTTCTAGGAAACAAGACAGCCAAGTAATATTCTTTTTTGGAATAAGTATAATCTCACTTCCAGAATGGCAGCCTGAGGTGCTCCACAGACCTGCTTCCCAGTAAAACAACCTGGAGAGGATTGAAAAGTGGCTTCGCAAAGTTCACATCTACTCAGAACCTCAGAATGTGACTTTACTTCAAAGTAGAATCTTTGCAGATATAATCAAGTTAAGGATTTAAGATGAGATCATTGCAGTTAGGGTGAGTCCTAACTCCAATGACTGTGATGTCAAAGAAGAGGAAAGGACACACACACAAACACAGAAAAGATGGCTGTGCAAGGACAGAGGTGTAGATTGGATCCATGCTGCCATGAGCCAAAGAATTTCAAGAGCCCTCAGAAGCTGGAAGAGGAAAAGAAGGATTCTCCTGGGAGGGAAGACTTCAGAAGGAGCACAGCCATTCCAACACCTTGATTCCAGACTTCTAGCCTCCAAAACTATGAGAGAATATATTTATTTTGTTTTTTACCTCCCAGTTTGTGGTAATTTGTTAGGGAAGCTTTTCAAAACGAATATACAACCACAAGTGGGGAAGCTATTAAAAAATCATAATCTCTGGAAATTGTCCCAAGGGAATTAAAAAAAGTAAAGCGGTATTTATTCAAGAAAATTCACTAAATCTAGGCAATAATGGGGAGATTCTATAGCACCTGAGCCATGACCTACTTCTTCCCCACTCCCTACGTATTTTTGAGAGAGGCTTCACTGTGGGTGGTTGTTGCCAAAAAGATAGGGCTCCTTCTTTTTGCAGTCACTAGACAAGAGTTATGGTATTTCACCAGGAGGGCCAAGCTACCAGGGTTTCTCAACTCATCCTGCTCCAAGAATCAGAGGCTAAATTCCTGTCAAGTGTGACCTAGATCAGGGTGCCACTTCATCCCACAAGCCTCAATTTTAGGGTGAAAGCTCTACTCTAGGTACAGCAGGTTGAGAATATTGAGGCTCTGATCACTTGTATGATACAGTTTCCAAAGTATGAGAAAGGTGGCAAAATCCAGCTCATAAAGCAGAATCTGAATCGAGCTCATAAATCTAGCTCTGAAAAAGGGAATCAAAGAATTTTTTGCAGAGGGAGAGGACATTCACATAAACAGAGCTCTAATGCTCTCCCCTATGGCTGACTTCATCAGGAAACAGAGTGTGGGAAATTTACAACATAAAGATACATTTTAAAATAATGCATACTTTGTGGAAAATGATTATGAGGCTCTAGCCCCATTAATACAATAAGCTAAATCATAGGTCACCTCATTTACCTAAGATAATCAGGTAAAGAGATAGATAAGGAAGCACTTCCTGGGGTCAGAACAAATCTCAAAAGCTTCCTGGATAATTATCCCAGCAGGTGATGTTAGCAAGAGATGAACAAGGAACTCTAAGTCCTCATTTTTGCACAAAAACGTTAATGTAACATCTAGAGTTGGAATAAAATAACTTCATAGGAGCCCCAAAATAAGTAAAAAATTATAGTAACCAATCAAATGCCCATAAAAAACCCCATACACATTCAAAATGTTCACCGATTTATCTATTTTATGGCATTTTTACTCATACTTGCCAGGCCTTCTCCCCTATGCAACATGGCATTATCAAAAACAAAAAACAATGTAGCCCAACTCATGCTTTTCTCCTTCAGTCTAGAAGAGCAGGACAAAAGTTAACTGCAGTGTTCTAACCTGTCTGTGGGATGCCTGAGGGATTGGTTTCTATTTTCCCTAACTGGGGCTCACACGATGAAAGGCAGCGTAGCTTGGCATAGCATGGATCTCAGACCGAGCAAGACCATGAAAGACAGTGGTGGGTGTGGCAGTGCATGGAATCTGCAGAAGAATGAGAGAGTTGGTAGAGAAATGCAATTGATCATCTACAACCCCGAGAAGAAGCTGCAGTGAGACTCTTTTGGATCTGAAGACATTTAAAAGCATCCACATGTATGTGGGAAACAGAGAAATGTGCATAGGCATAGAGAGTATGCATCGCTAGAAAAGACTGGAGGAGACCGTGAGCCTTCATCCTGGGCTTATTCCTAGGTTGAGAACATGCCCTATTAATTAGTGAAGGTCTGTCCCACCAGTCTTCAAAGATTGGGGGAAAAGCCTGTTTTTTCCAGACACCCATTTTTTTTTAAACAAAAGATCAGAGGGAATGCAAAGAAACATACAATCATGGCTCATTCAAAAGAACAAACTAAATCTCCAGAATCCATTCCTGAAAAAATACAGACAGGAGTTAAGAGACAAAGACTTTAAAACTATGGGCCTACATGTGCTCAAACACTATAGGAAAACACTAACAAAGAAATAAATAAAATAATATATAAAAAAGGATACTATCAATAAAGAAATAAAAGTTATAAGCAAGAACAAAATAGAAATTTTGGAGCTAAAAGATACAATAACTGAAGCAAAACACATTGAAGGAGTTCAAGAGCAGACTCAAACAGGCAGAAGAAATAATAAGTGAACTTAAAGACAAGTTATTTGACATTATTGAGTCTGAGGAACAAACACAACAAAAAGAAGGAAGGAAAGTGAAAAGAGTCTAAGGAACTTATGATGTACCAGCTAATGAACAAATATACACATTATGGATTTCCAAGAAGGAAAAGAAAAATAGAATGAGACAGAGGGTTTCTTTGAAATAATAATACTATACAAAAACTTTCCAAATTTGAGAAAAGTTATGGATATACAAATGCAAAAAGTCAATGAACTCCAAGTAGGATAATGCTCAAAGAGACCCACACTGAGACACATTATAATCAACTGTTAAAAATCAAAGACAAAGAGAAAATCTTGAAAATAGCAAGGGAAAGTAACTTGTCATGTGTGAGTGAGCCTCAATATGAATATAAGTGGATTTATCAGAAGAAACCTTTGAAGTGGGATGATATATTTAAAGTGTTAAAAGAAAAAAGAAACATGTTACCTGATATTCAATGTTTAGTAAAACAATACTTCAAAAATAAACAAAAGCTGAGGGTATTCATTACCACCTAGACCTGCTGTACAAGAAAGCCTAACGATAGTACTACACGTTGAAATGAAAGAATGCTATACAGTAAGTCAAAGCCATATAAAAATATAAAGTTCTTTAGTAAAGGTATATAAAAGGACAGTCATAAATAATTAGTATTGTTTTAATTTTTGTTTGTAACTCCACTTTTTATTTTCTATAAGATTTTAAAGATACATTTTAAAGTAATTGTATGTCTATTTTAATGAGTACACAATATATAATGATGCAATTTGTTAAATTAGAAACAAAAAGTGAGAGGAGGGCAGAACTGTTAAAGACTGCAGTTTTTGTATGCAATTGAATTTAAGTTAGCACTAATTAAAAATAGATTGTTAGATCTGGGATATTAGGATGTTACATGTACTGTTCAAGATAACCACAAAGAAAACACTTGTGAAATATATACAAAAAGAAATAAGCAGATAATCAAAAAATGTCACTAAAAAGTCAACTAAACACAAAGGAAGGAAGGCAGAAAATAAGAAACAAAATAGTTATGACATTTGAAAAATAAGTAAAATGGCAATAATACATTCTGGGAAACACTACAGACCAGAGAAAATGTTTACAAACCACAAGATTAACATTACAATAGTCTCTAGAAAATATAAAGAATTTTCAAAACACAACAGGAAAAAAGAATGCCATTTAATTAGAAAGTAATCAAGCATTTCACCAAAGAGGATGTGTAAATAGCAAAAAGCACATGAAAAGATATTTGACATCATTTGTCTCTGGGAACTGCAGATTAAAATTGCAAGGGAGAATGTTGGTGAGGATATGGGAAACTGGATCACTCATACATTGTGACTGGGAATGTCCACTGGCATGTCCACTGGCATGAAAAACATTTTAGCAGTTTCTTATAAAAATAAACATAAATTACCATACCATCCAACAATTGCACTGTTGCACATTTATTCCATAAAAATACATGTTTTCACAAGAAACTATCCATGATGTTTTTATCTGCTTTACTCATTATATGTATAAACTGGAAACAACTTAGATGCCTTCTAATAGGTGAGTGGTTAAACAAATTATGGTATAACCCTGCCATGGAATACTACCCAGTGATGGAAATGATTGAACTATTTATTCACACAACAATCATAATTCTCTAGGGAATTATACTGAGTAAAAATCTCCAGTTTAAAAAGATTATATACCATATGTTTTCATTATATTACATCTTTAAAAGACAAAATTGTAGAAATCATGAATAGATTAGTTATTGACAGTGGTTATTGTTATTTGGGAGGAGGTAGAAAGATAAGAGTGGTAAGTTTGGTTATAAAGGACAATGTGAGGAACCTTTGTGGCTATGGAACTGCTTTAAATATCTTGACTGTGGTCATGGATATATGAACCTACACACATGATAAAATTGTATAGAACTAAATACATATGTACACACACACGTACAGGTAAAATGATGAAAAGCTAAAGAAGGAGGATGAATTTTCTCAACATCAACCTTCTGGTTGTGATATTGCATTATATTTTTGTAAGATCTTACGATAAGGAAACAGTTCTTTGTATTATATCTTACAATTTCATGTGAGTCTACATTTACCATAAAACAGTTTAATTTTTAAAAGTTGATATGCTTCTTCCCTCTCTGTTAAACTCTTATTCAGGAATTATTATTCATTTCAGAACATACGTCTTTCTTAATATGATCTTATTTTGTTTCATTGTATTACCTAATATATTTACACATATTTTGGAGACAAAAAACTTTATCTTCTAGTTTACATCTCTAGTGAAAATTAATCTATTTACTGCCACCAATATTTAAAAATTTTCAGTCACTTACATTTAACCTTCATTATTTTTGTAAGTTCATTTCCCTTTTGTCTTCTGTACTACTTTTATAGAAGCAATGAACTTTTAGAAAATTATTCTAAAATTACTAGAGTATACAAACATATACTCTAATTGGAAAGAGGAAAGTTGGGCTCCCCATTCTTTACTTATAGTTAAGTACAACTTAAGATAGGTTTTCTCCAGGAGTAAAGAAAGAAGGAGGTTATTACTTCTGAGATGCAGCCCACTGTAATGACTATGAGCTAAGCTTTGGTACCATTGAGGAAAACAAAGGGGAGCCTCTTTCTTCCCCATTATGCCCCAGTCACCATTGGTTTCAAATCTATGAGTAAATTGTGAGGCCCTCTGAATAGATGGACAAAACCCAGTTCTGTTTGTGCTCAGGGTCTCTTCAACCTTCCCTTGCTACTTATTTCTCAGGTCAGGCTAGCTTTTCCTTGTTCAAGTTAGGGAACTGCAAAGGAATCTGTCAAGTCCTTAGAAGCCACAGGAAGAAAATCAAGTTGATCTTCAATAAGCTTTTTTAAATATTGAATTCCCCTGGCATTAATTTTGCACCAACTTAAAATTGGCATTAATCAAAAACCGATTCTAATTTTGTGGGGTCAATATTTATTGATATGGTTTGGCTATGTCCCACCCAAATTAGTCCCATTAGCATTAATTGAAAACTGATTTTAATTTTGTGGAGCCAATATATATTGATATTGTTTGGCTGTATCCCTACCCAAACATCATCAATGATTGTAATCCAAATTGTAATCCCCATGTGTTGAAGGAAGAACCTGGTGGGGGGGGTGATTGGATCATAGGGGCAGTTTCCCACATGGTATTCTCATGATAGTGAGAGAATTCTCATGAGATCAGATATTTTTATAAGGCAGTTTTCCCTGATCTTATTTTCTCTCTCTCACCTGCCACCATGTAAGATGTGCCTGCTTCCCCTTCTGCCATGATTGTAAGTCTCCTGAGGGCTCCCCAGCCATGTGGAACTGTGAGTCAATTAAATCTCTTTTCTTTACAAATTACCCAGTCTTAGGTAGTTCTTTACAGCAGTGTGAAAATGAACTAATACATTCATCTTTCTGTTCTTAGTTATTATTTTTTGTTTTTATATTTTGTTGTTTTGAAGACAGATCAAAATATAAAGGTTTATGCTATTATGTAGCCACCTTGCCCTCAATTGTGAAATGTATTTGAATGTGGAATAATCATATATGGGGTTTTTTGTCTTGGTTAAAATGCAGTACTCTAGTCCCTTAAAGGTTATGTAAACTGGAAAGTAATTAGATAGATGAGCATTCTTTGGATCTGAAAGAATTAACATTTGCTTTTTCTATTATCTTAATTTTGACCATGAATTTATATTCATCAACATTTGATAAATGTTGTCGTAAAGGATTGAAAATAAGGAAATGTATCTTCCAGCCTTAATTTATTAATCATCTTACATTCTTTCACTTTATATGTTGGATGACCAAAAAAAGAGAAAGCTTTGACTTGGTTGTTGAATATATGCTCTCACTTCTCAGACATTGGTACTCAACTTCATTCTGACTGAGGTGCATTCCTGCCAAAATTAGTATATGTAAACTCCATTCCCCAAAATTCTGACTTTACAGGAATTATGTAAAGCCAGAAATTTACCATTCTAGTAATAACCCTGGGGCATATTTTGAGATATACTGCTCAGAGGAAATCTCAGGATTTCACCATTCCTTTATCATTTTACCCATCCAATAAGAAGAATCTATAATAAGGTTCAGCAAAAAATGGTTGTCCTCAAATGTGTCTGGAAGACTAATCTCTCTTCAAAGATGCTCACATCCTAATACCTGAAACTTTATTTGGCACATGAGACTTTGCAGATGTGATTAACTTGAGGATTTTGTGATGGAGAGGTAGAGAAAATGTAAGGGAAATGTAGAGAAAATATTCTGAAGTCAATTGCATCTTAACAGTCCTTTCAAATGTAAAATTCAAATTTAACAAAATTTCAAAATTTTTATTCTTTATTCTCTAAATGATATCCTACAGAAAAATAAAGCTGAGGAGCTTTCTGCAGCATATGGTTGGATGGCTGGATATATATGTCCTTTCAGTCAAAATATGTTGTGAATGATGTTTATTAACTAGCCTTTGAAGATTTAATTTTCAATGTACATAATTATAATCAACTTAAAAAACCTTTCATAAATAAATGTATTAAGTATAATTTAATATTATATTATTGATTTTTAATTTCAATATTAGAATCATACTTTTGAAATTGGAACACTTGGGAACATAGAAAAGGACACAAAGATCTCTAGATATGGAACGATGTAAATAATATTTGTTTTGACTCTGACAGAGAAATATAATTTTCCAAGCAGAGATGGACAGCAGGATGTTAGACAATCTTCTTTAAGACAGTCTGTTCATAGGCACAGAGCCATAACAGATGGTGAGGAGATGGAGTATTAACAGAAGAGGAATATGTTGGTTTAACATAGTTAGGGAATGGGTTCGATAAAGTAAAGTGGAGATAGAAGTAGGACTGAGACTGAAATGTACTATATGCTGTTTTAAGAAACTGACTCTAGCATATAGGTATGTAGAGGACAGGAAATAGTTTATACAAAACTTAGTTGAGTTAACACATTTGATTTAGGGAAAATAATTAGCAGCAGTATTAATGGGGCAAGGCTTGGAGTAAGTAAACTCAGCTAAGGAGTTATTGCAGTCGCCTATGAGATTAAGAATTAGGTGTTCCTGAATGATTTTGAGCTGAAAATTTTTCATGATTCTTTAAGTCTACAACAGTAAAAGGCATACCAGTAAATGAAGAGAAGACCAGTAAATTAAATCTAAAGTGTCTTAAGGAAACCAAATGAAGATGTTCAATAATTAGTTAAATATATCAGTTTGGACCTTCAAAATGAGTTTTATCATCCTATGGCTAATTTTCATTGAATATATTGTATTGGATACATTTTGGTCTATATACTGAATGAGACAACAACCTAAGAATTATCAGAAGAAACATTTGATGAGAAGATGAAGAAGAAAGAGATACAAAAGGGGAATAGAATGAAATGGCAAATAAAATACTTCAAGAAATAAACAGTGTGACAGAGTTCAGGAATAGGAAAGGAAATAAAAACATCACTAGTTTAGGCAAACAGGAATTGCTAGTGACTATGGTAAAAAGCATGTAAAGATAATCAGAAGGTGGAGAATCTAGATGTAATTAAAAAAATGTTTCAAACAAATGTATGAAGTACAATATAAATGGGTAGCTCCTTAGATTTTTACACCATGAAAACAGCTATGAAACCACTACTTGAATCAATAGAGTCACCAGCATTCACAGTGTCCCCCTCAAGTTTCTTCCCAGTCAGCATCCTACCCTCCTTTCGAAAGGTAAGTACAATGAGATGTCTAATGCATGACATTATCTTCAAACTTTATATGAAAAAATCATATGATATTCATCCTTGTGTGTGTCTTCTTTTAATTGATATTTTTTAATCATTTTGTAATCAACATACTATCTTCATTGATTCCTGTTTCATGTTTTTATTGATTATGTAGTTTATTAACTTTTACTGCTTAATATACAAATATACTACAGATTATTCATGCATTCTCTATTTATGGTTTTTGCACTGTTTTCTCTTTAGGTTATTATGTATAATTCTGCAATGAGTATTTTTGTAAAAGTTATTTTGGTGCACACATGCATGCAGTATGGGTTGGTATCTGAGTAGGAGTGGAACTGATTGGACAAAAGGAATGCATATGTTGTACTTTGGTACACACTGCAAAAAAAAAAAAAATTACCAAATTGGTCAAACCAATTTACATGCCTACCAGTAGGGTATGAAAGTTGCTCTTGCTGCATGTCCTTATCAAACCTTAGTATTGTCAGCCTTTGTAATTTTAACCATTCAGAAAGATGCCTGGTGAGATGTCACTGTGGTTTTAACTTTAATTTCTTTATTTATATCATATGTTCATTGACAATATGGATATCACGTGCTGTGAAATGCCTACTGACATATTTTACACATTTTAAGAATATACCTTTAAATATTAGAATACTTTTAGATTTATAAAAAAGTTAAAATGATGGTACTGAGAGTTCTCATATTCCAACACGCGGCATCCCCTCCTAATAGCGTTTTACATTAGAATGGTGATATGGTTTGGCTGTGTCTCCACCCAAATCTCATCTTGAATTGTAGCTCTCATAATTTTCATGTGTCATGGGAGGGTCCAGATGGGAGGTAATTAAATCATGCAGGTGGGTTTTCCCATGCTGTTCTCATGATAGTGAATAAATCTCATGAGATCTGGTGGTTTTATAAAGGGAAGTTCCTCTATAAAAACTCTCTTGCTTGCTGCCATATGAGACGTGACTTTGTTCCTCTTTCACCTTCTGCCATGATGTGAGACCTCCCTAGCCACATGTAACTGTGAGTCAATTAAACCTTTTTCCTTTATAAATTAACCAGTCTTGGTTATGTGTTTATTAGCAGCATGAGAACAGACTAAACAAATGGTACATTTGTCACAATTAATAAAGCAATATTTATATATTATTAGTAACTACAGTCTACAACTTACTATTTATACTTAAATAGAAGTTCATATTTTCTTAGTTTTTAATCTAATGTCCTTTTACTGTTCCAGTATCCTGTCCAGGATACCACATTAAATGTAATTGTCATGTCTCTTTAGGCTCCTCTTGGCTGCCTCTCAGATCTTGAAATTAAAAAAAAATTAAATTTGTACTAGCCATCCTGGGGAATGTCTGACAACATTGAGAACTATTTGATATGTGTGTTTTTGTAGTGTGTCCTTTATGACATTCAGGTCACCATATTCAAAATGCAAAACAGTTTAAAATTGGAGACAAAAGGACAGATACTGATTTTATCCAGGATAAGACTTCATGAGTGTTGGTAGCTCAGAAGGAAAAAACTTATTATAGAATTGAGAAGACAAGTGATAATATGCTTTAAAAATAGTTTAACCAAAAAGCACAGACATGGTACAACTAGTAAATGTAGCTAAGAGGGGCTTGGTAGGGTGAGACCCCTAAGTGGAAGACTCAAAAAAAGTGAAAAGGCAATCTAAAAAAAACAAAGGAGTGGAAGGAAGGAGGGAGAGAAGAAGGATGAAAATCAAAGATAAGAATTACTAAAGGTCTGAGGAGAAATTTCTTTTTTAAAAATTATGCATTGGATGCCTGTATCAAAACATCTCATGTACCCCATAAATATATACACCCAATAGTACCCACAAATATTAAAAATATTTTTAAAAGAAAAATTATATATACAATATATTTTACTAATCTGGGAGTAGGAAAAGCATTTCTAAGCATCACAAATAACTTAGAAGCTATTTTTTCAAAGACATAGATTTGAACACTAAAATCATGCAAACGTTTGTTCAACTTTTTAGATTCAAGGAGTACAATGTGCAGGTTTGTTACAAGGGTATATTTCATGATGCTTATGTTTTGCATATAATTGAATCTATCACCCAGGTAGTGAGCATAGTACCCAAAAGGTAATTTTCAACTCCTGCCCTTCTCCCACCCTCCCTCCTCTTGTAGTTCCCTGTGTCTATTGTTCCCATCTTTATCTCCATGTGTACCCAATGTTTAGCTCCCAGTTATAAGTGAGAATATATGGTATTTGGTTTGTTGTTTCTGCACTGATTTGCTTAGAATAATAGCCTCCAGCTGCACCCATATTGTTCCAAAGGATATGGTTTTGTTGTTTTCTATGCCTGCGTAGTATTCTATGGTGTATATGTACCACAGTTTTATATCCAATCTGCTCTTGATGGGCACCTAGGCTGATTCTATTTCTTTGCTATCATGAATAGTGCTGTGATGAGCATTCAGGTGAATATGTTTTTATGGTAGAACAATGTATTTCCTTTTGGGTGTATAACTAGTAATGAGATTATTGAGTCAAATGGTATTTCTCTTTTTAGTTCTTTGATGAATCTTCAAATGGCTTTCCACAGTGGCTGAGCTAATTTACATTCCTACCAACATTATGTAAGCATTCCATTTTCTCCACAGCCTCGACAACATCTGATATTTTCTGACTTTTTAGTAATAGCCATTCTGACTGGTGTGAGATGGTATCTCATTGTGGTTTTGATTTGCATTTCTCTAATGACTTGTGATGTTGAATATTTTTTCATGTATTTGTTGGCCACTTGTATGTCTTCTTGGAGAAGTGTCTGTTTGTATGCTTTGCTCACGTTTTAATATGGTTATTTGTTTTTTGTTTTTGTTTTTTTTTGCTTGTTGACTTGTTTAAGCTTCTTGTAGATGAGAGATATAAGACCTTTGTAAGATGCACACTTTGCAAATACTTTCACTCATTCTGTAGACTGGCTGTTTACTCTCTTGATTATTTCTTTTTTTTTTCAGTTGCTTTTTAGAACTTAGCCATAAATTATTTGCCAAGGCTGATGTTAAGAAAATTATTTTCTAAGTTTTCTGCGAGGATTTTTATAGTTTGAGGTCTTACACTTAAGTCCTTAATTAATCTTGAGTTGATTTCATTCTTCTACCAATGAAAAGCCAGTCATCCCAGCATCATTTATTGCGTAAGGGATCCTTTAACTCTTGCTTATTTCCACTGATTTTATTGAAGATCAGATGGCTGTCAATGTGGGGCTTTATTTGTTGGTTCTCTATTCTATTCCATTGGTCTCTGTGTCTGCTTCTGTACCAGCATCATACTGTTTTGGCTACTGTGGTCTTGTAGTATTTTTTGAAGTCAGATAATATGATGCCTCTGGCTTTGTCCTTTTTGCTTAGGATTGCTTTGATTATTCTGACTTCTTTTTGTTTCATATAAATTTAAGAATATTTTCTTTCTAGTTCTGTGAAAAATGACCTTGGTAGTTGATATATATATCAAACTACCAAAAATGGCAAGCAAAAATGGCAGCACAGCTTACAAAATTTACGAGATGTAACAAAAGCAATTGTAAGAGGAAATTTTACAGCAACATAGCCCTACATCAAAAAAGAAGAAAGATCTCAAATAAGCAACTTAAATTTACATCCCAAGGAGATAGAAAAAGAACAAACTAAGCCCAATATCAGCATGCACTAAAAACATAATAAGGATCAAGGCAGAAATAAATGACATAGAGAAAAAAATACAAAAGAGCAACAAAACTAAGAGTAGATTTAAAAAACAGAAAAACCTTTAGTTACACTAAGAAAAAATAAAGAAAACTCAGATAAAATCAAAAATGAATAAGGAGACAACTGACACCACAAAAATACCAAGGACCTTAAGAGATTTTGATGAAAATTATATACCAAAAAAAGTATAACCTAGATAAAATGGATAAATTTTTAAACACAATTCATCTATAAAGACTTAATCAAGAAGAAATAGAAGAGCTGAAGATAACAGTAATGACTAATGTAACTGAACCAGTAATAAAAAGTCCCCTGTCAAGGAAAAGCCCATGACCTGGTCCCTCAGTGCTGAATTCTACAAAATACTTAAAGAACTAATACAAATCTTTCACAAACTCTTTCAAAAAAACGGAAGAGAAAGGACTACTTCCAAACTCATTTTATGAGGCCAACATTGCCCTTATGCCAAAGTGATATAGTTTGGTTGTGTCCCCAACTAAATCTTGTCTTGAATTGTAGCTCCCGTATACCCCACATATCATGGGAGGGACCCAGTGGAATGTAATTGAATCATGGGGGTGGGCTTTACTCCATGCTGTTCTTGTGATAGTGAATAAGTCTCATGAGATCTGATGGTTTTATAAAGAGCAGTTCACTTGGCCATGCTGTTTTTTCTACCACCATGTAAGACATGCCTTTGCTTCTCCTTCACCTTCTGCCATGATTGTGAGGCCTCTCCAGCTATGTGCAACTATGAGTCCATTAGCCTCTTTTTCTTTATAAATTACCCAGTCTCAGGTGATTCTTCATAGAAGTATGAAAATGGATTAATACACAAAGCAAGACAAGGACTTCAAAAGAAAAGTACAAGCCAATATCCTTGATGTACATGGATGCAAAAGCATTCAACAACATACTAGTAAACCAAATTTAACAAAACATTCAAACTATCATTCACCATGATCAAGTGATATTATTCTCTGGGTACAAGGATGGTTCAAAATATGAAATTAATCATTGTGATACATCACATTAAGTGAATAAGACAATAATATGATCATCTTGTTAGATTAAAACAAGAATTTTATAAAATTAAATATTTTTATGATAAAAAATACTGAATAAATTAGGTACAGAAGGAATTTACCTCAATACAATAAAGGCCATATATGATAAAACCACAGCTACCATAATACTCAATGATGAAACACTGAAACCTTTTCATTTAAGGTCCAGAACAAGACAAGGATGCTCACTGTCACCACTTCTATTGGACATGGCATTAGAAGTCCTATTCAGACCAATTAGGCATGGAAAAAAATGAAGCATCCAAATAGGAAAGAAAGAAGTAAATGTGTTTCTGTTTGTTGATGACATGATCTTGAATATAGAAAGCTCTAAAGATTTCATCAAAAGACTGTTAGAACGAATAAATGTATACAAAAAGTTGCAGAATAAGAAATCAACACAAAAATTAGTAGCATGTCCACATATCAACAACAAACTATTCAAAAAAAGAAATAAGAAAACAACCCCATTTACAATAGCTATAAAATATTAAAATATTTGGGAATAAATTTAAGCAAGGAGGTGAAATACATGTACAATGAAAACTAAAACAGTGAAATAAATTGAAGAAGACACAAATAAATGGAAAGTTATCCCATGAGTATGAATTAATATTGGTACAATTCCCATACTATCTAAAACAAAGCAGATTCAAAACAATGCCTATGAAAATTCCAATGTCCTGTCATATAAATAGAAAAAATAAGCCTAAAACTCACATGGAAGCACAAAAAAATAACAACCAAGGCAATTATGAGCAAAAAGAACAAAACTTAAGGATTATTTATTTTCTTCCTATAGGGTTGAAACAAAACAAAATCACACTAACTGATTTCAAATACTGCTACAAATCAGTAGTAATTAAAACAGCATGGTACTGGCAAAAAAAAAAAAATGACTCATTGACCAATGAAACAGAATAGAGAGCCCAGTCATGAATTCATGCATGTGTACAGTCAAATGATTTTCAACAAAGGTGTCAAACATGCACGCTAAGAAAAGGAGAGTTTCTTCAATAAATAGTGTTAGGAACATTGAATATTTCTAGGCAAAACAATGAAAGTTGACCGTTCTTTTACACCCAATACAAAAATCAACTAAAAATGGATTCAGGACTTAAACATAAGACCTGAAACTGTAAAACTATAAGGAGCAAACATAGGGAAAAACTACACAACATTGGTTTGAGCAATAATTTTTAAAATTTGACCCCACAAGTGCAGGCAATTAAAAAAATAGACAAATGGGATTACATTGAAATAAAAAGATTCTGCACAACAAAAGAAAATAATAACAGAGTGAAAGATAACCTATGAATTGGGAGAAAATATTTGCAAGCCTTACATCTGATAATGGGTTAACATCCAAAATATATAAAGAACTCAACTCTATAGAAAGAAAATAAATAATCCAACTTAAAAAAGTAAGTAAAGGACTTGAGGAGACATTCCTCAAATGTAGATATAGAAATGGACAACAGATATATGAAAAAATGTTCAACATCACTAATCATTAGGGAAATGAAAAGCAAAACCACAGAAGTAAAATCTCACAGCCAAATGAGATTTCATCTCACATCTGTCAGAATGGCTATTTTTAAAAAGTCAAAAGGTAAGTGCTGGCAAGACTGTGGAGAAAAGGAAACAATTGTACAATGTTTATGGGAATGTACATTAGTACAACCATACTGGAAAACTTTATAGAGGTCCCTCAAGAAACTAAGAATAGAATTACCATATTATCTAGAAATTCCACTTCTGGGTATTTATCCAAAATATTTAAAATTAACTTGGCCAAGAGAGGTCTACACTCCCATGTTCATTGCAGCATTATTCACAATAGTCAAGTTATGTAATTTACCTATATATCCATCATCAGACGAATAGATAAAGAAAATGTGGTATATATACACAATGGAATATTATTCAGCCTTAAAAATAAAAGAAACTCTTTCCACTGGAAGCAACATGGATAGAATTGGAGAACATTATGCTAAGTGAAATAAGCCAGATACAGGAAGACAAATATCTCATGTTCTCATGTCTGTGAAGAATCTAAACAGCCAAACTCAAAGAAACAGAGATTAGAGAGGTAGTTGCCAGAGGCTAGGGGGTTGGGGGGAATGGGAAGATAAGGGACAAAGGGATCAAAGCCTTAATTAGACAGAAATAAGGTTTTTGTTATTGTTTACTTTGATATATATTTCAGTGTGGTGAATACAGTAAATAATAATGTATTGCACATTTCAAAATCACTGAGTGTACAGTTTGAAATTTCTCATGACAGAAAATAAGTATTTGAGGTAATGGGTTTGCTAATTAACTTGGTTTCATTACTCCACATTATATTCACAGATTATAACATTATTTTGAACCCCATAAATATATACAATGATAATTTGTCAATTTATAATTATCAAATTGAAATTATTTTTGAAAGTGCACAGGACATAGTATTTATTTCAAAAAATTTTATGCTCTGGCTGGGCGCGGTGGCTCTCATCTGTAATCCCAGCACTTTGGAAGGCTGAGGCCGGCAGATTACCTAAGGCCAGGAGTTCTAGAACAGCCTGGCCAAAATGGTGAAACCCTGTCTCTACTAAAAATATAAAAATGAGCCAGGTGTTGTGGTGGGCGCCTGTAATCCCAGCTATTCGGGAGGCTGAGGCAAAAGAATCACTTGAACTCAGGAGCTGGAGGTTGTAGTGAGCTGGGATCGTGCCACTGCACTCCAGCCTGGGCAAGAGAGTGAGACTCTGTCTAAAAAAAAAACCAAAAAACAAAAAACAAAAAAAACTCAATTGTTATAGAAAGACAAATGCCTAACAATTGCATGCATAATTACATGCATAACTCATTGCTTTATATGCATGCTTTTGAGTGACACTGTAGAAGTCATTTAACACAATGATGAGAATATTTGACATGGAATCACAATATCAGTGTTTCAATTTCAGACTTTATAGCAATTAGCAAAGTCATCTGTCTCTATAAAATTTAATTTCAAATATTTAAAATAAATATATTCAACTAGAAAACTTTATGATGAGACTTTTCCATTGTCTCCTATATTCCCTGTCACGATGGTAAATTATCACTGTATACCAATTTACCTTTTAAAAGAATTGAGTGTAAATTATTACTGTTTACCAATTTACCTTTTTTAAAAAATAGAAACCTGTGATTTTATTTGAGTCAGTCTTAGAATAAGTAAATGTAGAATGATTGTAAACACAGTAATGACTCTATGTTGGTAAGAATGGCTGGAAAACTTCATAACCAACCCTCTCATCATCGTAAACATAAGTAATTTCAAATAATTATCATCTATTTGCTATCCCATGTTAATTATTCATTAGATTACTTTTCTAATAAAAAAATAAAACTTTTTTAAAAACTTAGTGTAATTTTTTTTTCTTGTCTTCATTAAGTGAAATATTTTGAATAGATCAGAATTTGGAATTGTGAGTTAACATATCAAAAGATCTAAATCATAAAAAACAGAAGCAGCATAAACAGACATACATATATATCTGGATAGGCTTGTCTAACTGTAGCAAAGCTGGCATGGCTTGAATCTGCAATGTTGTTATATATATATATTTTATATGTATTATATATGTTATATATTATATACATTATATATATATTATATATATATTTGATATATTATATATATTTTATATATTATATATACTATATATAGTATATATAGTATATATTATATATATTTTATATATATAATATATATATTTTAAAATTATTCTAGCATCTTTCCTAAGCCTACCATTTGTATGCCATATATTAATTAAATAAATACTTGCTCACATTCTTTGTCAAAAGAAATTAACTTAGGTATTTATTTTAGAATTCAATATAATGCTATAAATGCATTAATGCTATATATATAATGCAATATACTGCTATAAATAATTATAAAACCCATGCTATAATCACTAGAGCCTTGCCCATTGGCAAGAAAAAAACTTGCAAGGAAAATGAAAGTCAATTCTACAGAGAAAAAAAACTGGCCTGGTATGGTGGCTCACGCCTCTAATCCCAGCACTTCAAGAGGCCGAGACAGGTGGATCTCTTGAGCTCAGAAGTTCAAGACCAACCTGGGAAACATGGCGAAACCCTGTCTCTACAAAAAACACAAAAATTAGCCAGGCATGGTGGCCCATACCTGTAGTCCCAACTACTTATGGTGGTGAGCTGGGAGGATTTCTTGCCTCTGGTCTGTGGAGGCTGAAGTGGGCCATGATTGTGCCACTGCAGACTGTGCCTCTGCCTATATGACAGAATGAAACACTGTCTCAAAAATAAAATAAAATAAAGTAAAACAAAAAGTAATCAGCTTTAAAAGTTAAAAATGACTCATTGAAGTATAAAATGTACCTTGCATGCAAGGTGCAGAAATCTATGATGCATTTCTAATGCTTCTTTGCAAGAGCTGGGGAGTGGGGTAAAAAAAAAAATCTCTATCTATCATCTATCTATCTATCTATCTATCTATCATCTATCTATCTATCTATCTATCTATCTATCTATCTATCTATCTATCTACCTATCTATCATCTATTTCCCTAAACAAATTCTGTCCTCAAACAGCTTCTGATCCATGGACATAAATAAGCCATATATCTGTGAACTGTCTACATAATACACATCTGTAGCACAAGTAAAACATTTCTGGGGGTTAGAGGAGGGAGGAGGCAAAGTTCCTGGATTCCTTAGATTTAGAGGAGAAATAACTGGACTGACTATAAGAAGCAGATTCTACTCCCTGAATTTCTGTTATAAAAATTATCAATGTTCTCACGCCTGTAATCCCAGCACTTTGGGAGGCCGAGGGGGTGGATCACGAGGTCAGGAGATCAAGACCATCCTGCCTAACACGGTGAAACCCCATCTCTACTAAAAATACAAAAACTCAG
The DNA here is from genome assembly GCF_000001405.40 of Homo sapiens. Taxonomy (NCBI): domain Eukaryota; kingdom Metazoa; phylum Chordata; class Mammalia; order Primates; family Hominidae; genus Homo; species Homo sapiens. The sequence continues at coordinate 83,626,523 of NC_000002.12, read as the reverse complement.
CCGGGCGTGGTGGCGGGCGTCTGTAGTCCCAGCTACTCAGGAGGTTGAGGCAGGAGAATGGCGTGAACCCGAGAGGCAGAGCTTGCAGTGAGCAGAGATGGCACCACTGCACTCCAGCCTGGGCGACAGAGAGAGAATCCGTCTCTAAAAAAAATTTATCAATTTCCACTATCTAAAGATGCATATTCTATCAAAAGAAGATACTGTAATGCCCCCTCACAAGAATTTAAGGATTCAGGGATATTTTGCACAAAACATGCATTAATATTTTATAAGAAAGATGCAAATAAAATAATATTTATCTTTTAGATTTGAAGCTTATTTCTACTTCCATCTCTGTTTCAACAGCTCTTCAGGCCTATTAGAATTGATAATTCATGGATCCTACAGCAGTTGTGGTGTTTGTCAAAGTCAATAATGTCCTGTCCTTGTTTAATGGTCAGGATCCAGTCTTCCTCTTACTTCATCTATCTGATGCATTAGACACAATTAATTACTACGTCCTCCTTGAAAGGTATTTTCCCTTGGCTTCCAAATGCTCCTGACTTTTCTCCTCCTACTTAATTGGTTGTTTCTTTTCAGCCTTCTTTCTGGTTGCTTCTGATCTTCTCTAAATATAGGTGTGCTACAAAGTTCAGGTACAGTGTCCCATGGATTCTTTTTTTTTCTGTCTATTCTCAGTCATTTGCTGAGTTTATCCATTCTCATGCCTCTAAACATTATCTTTATGATAAAATTTTTCAAACTTATATCTCCAAGCAAATGATTTTTCCTAAATTTTGGCTTTATATATGTGGTTGATGACTCATTATATCCACTTGGATGTCTAATTGGCATCTCGAATTTAATTTATGTAAAACCAGACTCCAGCTATCTCTTTTCACATCAGATCAACTTTACCCATAACCTTCCTCAACCCAGTAATTGTAACTCTACTTTCCATAACCTCAGTACAGAAATTTTAGTGTCATCCTTTATATCTTTGTTTTTTATCTTATCTCCCAAATATTATCCGACTGTGCAGACTGTGCAGTGTGGAATTGTGGAGAACACCATTCACATATCACTCATTGTGGAATTACGACAATGCTATGGCATATGGTTAGTATAGAGTGTTGAGAAAGTAGTGTCTTTTTAAGGATTGACACAAAGGCACCATAGGAGCCGGCGGTGACCTGAGATTATTTACCGTTCAGCTAACTGTCACACAATGGATATCAATCACCCAGAATGAAAGTCAAAGTACATTTTGAGTCCAAAAAAGTTTTATGTAACCTAGTCCCTGGCTACATCTTTTCATGCATCTCCTATTACTTTTCATTTAGTTCAATGCTTCTGAAAATTTTGAAGTATAAAATGTACCTTGCATGCAAGGTGCAGAAATCTATGATGCATTTCTAATGCTTCTTTGCAAGAGCTGGGGAGTGGGGTAAAAAAAAAACTCTATCTATCTATTATCTATCTATCTATCTATCTATCTATCTATCTATCTATCTATCATCTATCTATCTATCTATCTATCTATCTATCTATCTATCTATCTATCATCTGTCTATTTCTCAAAACAAATTCTGTACTCAAACAGCTTCTGATCCATGGGCCTAAATAAGCCATATATCTGTGAACTGTCTACATAATACACATATGTGGCAAAAGTAAAAAATTTCTGGGGGTTAGAGGAGGGAGGAGGCATAAGAATCACCTAGGAATTTTGTCAAAATGCAGAATTGATTCAGTACATATGGATAGGTCCTTGGTTTCTGCATTTTTAACAAGCTCCTGGGTGATGACAGTGGATGGTTCTGGTCAGGGATCACTGTTTCCATCAATCTGTCTCTTTGTTCATGCTGTGCTTTCTCATGATTAAAAACATTTGTACTTGTGATTGTTCTACATGAAATACTGTTTCTGTAGACACCGTGGAGAGTCATTCTGTCACCTTCTTCTGGTAATTGTTTTTTAGTTCTTTCTTTAAGCAAAACTTTCCCTGCCCATTTTGTTTCAGTTGTAATCCTTTCCCTCTCCACTGGACTTCCCTATTTTCTTTCTTTATATCTATAGCATTCACCAGCCCACATACAATATTTGTAAATATTTTAACCTGTAACTAATGTAGAATGTAAGGACTATAAGGTCAGGATTTTTAGTTATTTTTAATATTTTTTTCACAGCTATATCTCTGGAATCTAGATATTGGCATATAGGAGATACTCAAATAAATGTTTGTTAATGAATGCTTTTTTCTAATCCTTTTCCTCTTACTTGAGACTGTACTGAGAGTGAGGAAAGTGATTCATATCCTACAGCCAATTTCCCTACTGGCATATTTCACCATATAATTAATTAATGCTGCAATCATCTTTGCCTGCTACCTGTTTTAAGTACATCATGCAACGTTTACATAGAGAATTTAAGTGAATCATTGAGCTCTATGAATATAACTTACAGCACTTCAGTACAAACATTATTAGACCAATAGATATGACATTTCTGAATAATTCTGATGCTAATAACACCTTTCAGAAAAACAGTTATAAAAGATGTTTAGAGTTTACATGGCAGAATTGATATATTACTGTAGAGAGATTATTTTTGCTTTTCATCCAATGAATCTGTTATATATAAATAAGAAAAATACCAACATATAATAACTATCTGTGCAATGTGAATATAATTTTAAAAATAAAAAAATTAATGCTCCTGTATTTCTAGGTGCAAATGTACTTCATTTAATTTTGCCTTGCTTAATGCCACTTCCAAGATAGCACATATTTTACAAACTGAAGTTTTGTGGCAATTTTGCATCAGCAAGCCTGTTGGTGCCATATTTTGAATAGAATGTGTACACTACTCATCCCTGTGTAACAGTTTTGGTAATTCTTCTAAGATTTTAAAATTTTTTTATTGTTATTATATCTTATGGTGATCTGTGATCTTTGATGATAATATTGTAATTTTCTTGGTGCTCAACAAACTGTGCTCTATAAAAAGACAAACTTAATTGATAAATGTTGTGTCTGCTCTGACTGTTCTACTGACCAGCCATTCCCTGTGTAATTCTCTACTTGGAATTCTCTATTCCCTGAGAAACAGCAATATTGAAATTAGGCCAATTAATAACCCTATAGTTTCCTCTAAGTGTTCAAGTAAAACTAAAAGTTACACATCTTTCACTTTAAATCAAAACCTAGAAATGATTAAGTTTAGTGACAAGAGCATGCCTAAAGAAAGATAGGCAAAAAGCTAGGCCTCTTCAGCCAAACAGCCAAGTTGTTAATACAAAAAAAACAAAACAAAAACATTCTTAAAGGAAATTAAAGGTGCTACTGCAATGAATACATGAGTGATTTTTAAAACAGGAAACAGACTTATTGAGGATATGGAGAAGGTTTTTGTGGTCTGGATAGATGATCAAACAGCTCCAACATTCCCTTAAACCAAAACCTAATCTAGTGTATGGTCCTAACACTCTTTCATTCCACAAATGTTGATAGATGTGAGAAAGCTGATAGATGTGAGAAAGAAAAGTTTGAAGCTAGCGGAGGTTGGTTCGCAAAGTTTAAGGAAATAAGCCATTTCCATAACATTAAAATGTAAGGTGAAGCAGCAAGTGCTGATATAGAAACTGTAGTAAGTTATCCAGATCTAGCTAAGATCATTGATGAAGGTGGCTACATTAAACAACAGATTTTCTATGTAGACAAAATAGTCTTCCATTGGAAGAAGATGCCATCTAGAATTTTCAGGACAAGAAAGGAGAGGTTAATGCTTGGCTTCAAATCTTCACAGAACAGGCTCTCTTGTTAGGGGCTAATGCAGCTAATGACTTTAAAGTTGAAGCCAATGCTCATTTACCATTCTGAAAATCATAGGACCCTTAAGAATTATGTTGTATCTAGTCTGACTGTTCTTTATATAGGAAATAACAAAGCCTGGATGACAGCATATCTGTTTATGGCACGGTTTAGGGAATACTTTAAGTCTACTATTGAGACCTACTGCTCAGAAAAAAGATTTCTTTCAAAATATCACTGCTTGTTGACAATGCACCTAGTTACCCAAAAGTTCTGACAGAGATGTACAAAAAGATTGTTGTTGTTTTTAAGACTGCAAACACAACATGCATTGTTTAGTCCATAAATCAAGGCTTAATTTTGACTTAGAAAAGTCTTAATATTTAAAAAACCTATTTCATAAGGTTTTAACTGAATAGATAAAAATTCCTCTGATAGTTTTGGGCAAAGCAAATTGAAAACCTTCTGGAAAGCATTCATCATTCCAGATGCCATTAAAAACATTAATAATTCATGGTAGGAGGTCACAATGTCAACATTAATGGAAGTTTGGAAGAAGGTGATTCCAGTTTTCATAGATGATTTAGAGGGGTTCAAGACTTCATTGAATGAAGTAAAGGCAGATATGGTGGAAATAGAAAGAGAAGTGAAGAATTAGAAGTGAAGCCTGAAGATGTGACTAAATTGCTACAATATCATGCTAAAACTTGAACAAATGAAATGTTGCTTCTTATGGATGAGCAAAGAAAGTGGTTTCTTGAGATGGAATCTACTGCTGAAGTTGCTGTGAAAAGTGTTGAAATGACAACAAAGGAATTAGAATATAGGCATACCTTGGAGATATTGGGAATTCAGTTTTAAACCACCTCTGCAAAGGTGAATATTGCAATCAAGTGAGTTACACAATATAAATCTAATCACTTGACCTGTATATTATACTAATCATCACATTGACAGTATGAGGCAAGCAGGCATCATTGTTATTTACACTTGTAAATTAACAACTGAGGCATAGGCAGTTTGATTTCAGTGACTGATTCACCAATAATAATAATTACCTCAGAGTGACATTGTGAGAATGCATATATAGTATTTAGAAAAGCAATCGTTTCTGGTACACGGTTGATGTTTGATGAACAGAAGACAGTTTATTCTGAGACTGAACTTTCAGAATGGAGAAGAAAACCAATTCTAAGTCAAGTGAGGAGCGATAAGAGACCATTGGCCCAGATAGAATCAACCTGCTCCAGCTCCACCTGTTAGATGATATACCTGACACTTACTTGCTCTGCCTTCTTTGAAGATTTGTCAGAGTTTAGAAATATTTCTCTATTTTCATTTTCAACTGCAACTTTCACTGTGTTGGGAATATAGTAAATGTGAAATAAATCTTTGTTACAAGAACATGACATTGAGCCCCTTCCTCATCTTCAAGTATGATAAGCATGGCTTAAATACTGCAGTATCATCGCCTTCAGCTGGTAACAGTGTGTTTATGAATGCAAGCAGAGTTCCACTTCCATGAAGTGGTTATTGAGTTACTACAAGGAGAGAGACTCTCTAAAGAATCAAAATATAAAACCTGACTAATTCACTAAATCACAGAATATTATATCTGGGAATAGGCCTGCTTGGAGTTTAAAGGTAAGTTTAATAGGAATGTCTGGCAATTACTTTATAAAGCTTATTTTTTTCAGAGGAACTAACTGGCTGAAAATATGGAAAGATGCAAAACAAGTGTCATTTAATTATAAATTGTTCACTAAAGCTGTACCCTGGAGGACTGCTTCTCAGTGACACTTTTTTATTTTACTTCAGTTACTTTTAATTTGCATATATGAAGGGATAAGAATTACATTTTTAACACGTGTTCTAAAATCCATTCTATGGACTCAAATTAGTGCAAAGAATGCTGCTCTCATAACTACAGTTTCTGCATAATTTGGTCCCTATTCATCTCATATAGACCAAGTTACATTTTTAACTGTCATACATGCACACTTCGACCACTGTCTCTCTATATTTAAAAATAAAGAGGCAGTTTATTAAAATTAATGAAAGGACACAGTAGAACATGAATCTCCTGAGTATCAACTATAGGAAGATAACAACGCAGGCCTTCTAACTCTCTCTTACTCTCTGTCTCTATTTATTTTACTGCATTGTCTTTTTGGAATCCAACGTTTGCCAGCCAGAGCACAACTAGGGGTAGAATCAATGATAGACCATTTGGGAGCCAATCAGGCAAGTCCAGTTTTCTACTTCTTTCTAGCTAAGGTCTTGATCGCAGCATTGGCAGAAATGGGAGTGACATGGTTTGGCTCTATGTCTCCACGCAAATCTCATATTGAGTTGTAATTCCCAGTGTTTTAGGAGGGGCCTGGTGGGAGGTGATTGAATCATGGAGGTGGACTTCCCCCTCACTGTTATTCTGACAAAGTTCTCACGAGATCTGGTGGTTTCAACGTGTGTCACCCCTCCCCACTTTACTCTATCTCTCTCCTTCTGGCCATGTGATACATGCCTGCTTCCCTTTTGCCTTCTGTCATGTCTGTAAGTTTCTCAATGCCTCTCCACAAGCAGAAACCTGTACAGCCTGCAGAACCATGAGCTGCTGAAACCCCTTTTCTTTATAAATTACCCAGTCTCAGGTATGTCTTTATAGCAGTGTGAGAACAGACTAATACAGAAAATTGCACTGAGAGTGAGGTATTGCTATAAAGATACCTGAAAATGTAGGAATAGCTTTGGAATTAGGTAATGGGCAGATGTTGGAACAGTTTGGTGGGCTCAGAAGAAGATAGGAAGATAAAGGAAGGTTTGGAACTTCCTAGAGACCTGTTGAATGGTTTTGGTCAAAATGCTGATAATGATATGGACAGAGATGACCAGGCTGATGAGGTCTCAGATGGAGATGAGGAACTTACTAGAAACTGAAGTAAAGTTTGCTCTTGGTATACTTTAGCAAAGAGACTGGTGACATTGTCACCAGTCTAGGGATCTGTAGAACTTTGAAATTGAGAAAGATGATTTAAGATCTCTGGCAGAAGAAATTTCTAAGCAGCAAAGTCTTTGAAGTTTAGCCTGGCTGCTTCTAAAAGTGTATGCTCATATTCATTTACAAAGAGATAGTCTGAAACTGGAACTTATATTTAAAAGGAAAGCAGAACATAAAAGTTTGAAAAATTTGCAGACTGACCATGTGGCAGAAAAGAAAAACTCATTTTCTGAAGAGAAATTCAAGCCAGTTGCATAAATTTCTGTAAGTAAACAGGAGCCAAATATTAACAGTCAAGACAATGGGGAAAATGCCGCCAAAGCATTTCAGAGACCTTTGTGGCAGCACCTCCCATCACAGGCCTGGAAGCCTACAAGGGAAAAACATCTCATGGTCCAGGACCAGGGCCCCACTGCTCCGTGCAGCCTCAGTACATGGCACCCTGCACTGCAGTGGCTTCAGCTCCAGCTGTGGCTAAAAGGGGCCAAGGTACAGCTCAGGCTGTCACATCAGATGGTGCAATCCCCAAGCCTTGGTAGTTTCCATGTGTTGTAATGCCTGTGGGTTCTCAGAGGGCAAGAGTTGAGGCTTGGGAGTCTCTTCCTAGATTTCAGAGGATGTATGAAAATGCCTGGACGTCCAGGCAAAAGTCTGCTGCAGGGTGAGAGCCCTAATTGAGAACTTCTGCTAGGGAAATGCAAAGGGAAAATGATGGGTTGGAGCCCCCAAACAGAGTCTTCCACTGGGGCACAGCCTAGTGGAGCTATGAGAAGAAGGTCACCATCCTACAGACCTCAGAATGGTAGAGCCACCGACAACTTGTATTGTGCACCTGGAAAAACCACAGGCACTAAACCCCAGCCTGTGAAAACAACTGTGGGGGCTGTGCCTCCCAGAACCATGAGGTGGAGCTTCCCAAGGCCTTAGGAGCCCATCCCTTGAATCAGTGTGGCAGAGATGTGAGACATGAAGTCAAGGAGATTATTTTGGAGCTTTAAGATTTGATGACTGTCTCGCTGTGTCTCAGACTTGCATGGGGCCTGTAGTCCCTTTGTTTTGGCCAATTTCTCCTTTTTGAATTGGGAGCATTTACTCAATGCCTGTACCCCCATTGTGTCTTAGAAGTAACTAACTTGCTTCTGATTTTATAGGCTCATAGGTGGAAGGGACTTGCCTTGTCTCAGATAAGACTTGGACTTTGACTTTTGACTTAATGCTGCAATGAATTAATACTTTGAGGACTGTTGGGAAGGCATGATTGTGTTTTGAAATGTGAGAAGGATATGAGATTTGGGAGGGGCTGGGGTAAAATAATATGTTTGACTCTGTGTCACCACCCAAATCTCATGTCTAATTGTAATTGTAGGTCTGGTGTGGGGTGACTGAATCATTGGGCAGGACTTTCCTCTTTCTGTTCTCCTAATAGATTTCTCATGAGATCTGGTTATTTCAAAGTGTGTAGCACTTCCTCCTTTGCACTCTTTCTCTCTCCTGTCAGTCATGTGAAGGTGTGCTTGCTTTCTTTTGCCTTCCATCATGACGAAGTTTCCTGATGCCTCCCCAGAAGCAGAAATCTGTACAACCTGCAGAGCTGTGAGCTGATTAAACCTCTTTTCTTTATAAATTACCCAATCTCAGGTATGTCTTTATAGCGGTGTGAGAATGGACAAATACAGAGAAAAAACTCTGGGACTGTAGGCAGCAACACCTTAGTTGCACCAATAGTACAGAAAATATAAAATATAGTGAACAAAATTTGATTATGGCCTTCTGATAGCCATGCTGTACCTGAAAGCAGACATTTGAGAAGATGAACCTATAAAATCTAAGAGTACATGTCAAGAGATGAGAATTTCATAGGTGATCATAAAACGTATCATCAAAACTGAGGCAATTCTCTGAGTGAAAAGGGGTGCTATTAATAAGATCTTTAGAAAGACAAAAACTCACTTCTATGCCTACTGAGGTATTGACTCATCTCTTAAGGTAAAGGAAACTATGCAATGCTAGGGTGAGATTACTGACTAGGGGTGAAAAAAACATTTCTTAAACTATTGTAGATGTGATTATTTTAGCAAGTATTATTTTCTGATCTTTATTTATGTCAGATCTTTTTTTATAGGAATATATGTATATTCCTATATTTGTATATTATAGAATGCACACACACACACACACACACACACACACACACACACACAGACACACATATCCTGGGGTTAGAATGAGGCTTTCAATTTCTTCTGGCCTAGACTGTGTGTAGGAAGCATGATCAAATCTACAGCTTTTATTTCACTGGGTCACTGGAAAAGAGAAAAGCTTGAGTATTTAGTAACCCCAATTCCAGCATCTAAACTATTTTAAGATGGAAGTGATAGTCACTTATTTTATAAAATATACAAATAAAATACCCCTGGAAAGAAATTAGTATTATATAAGAGACAATTCTACCCAAGATTAAAGAAGACTTCATATGACTTAATAGATATATTACACTGTTCTTGGCATTCCTATAAAGAAAATTCTGAGACTGGGTAATGTATACAGGAACAGAAAGCCAAACACTGCATGTTCTCACTCATAAGTGGAAGTTGAACAATGAGAACCCATGGACATAGGGAGGAGAACATCACACATGGGGCCTGTCAGGGGATGGGGGACAAGGGGAGGGAGAGCATTAGGACAAATACCTAATACATGCGGGGCTTAAAACCTAGATGACGGGTTGACAGGTGCAGCAAACCACCATGGCACACGTATACTTATGTAACAAACCTGCATGTTCTGCACATGTATCCCAGAACTTAAAGTAAAATTTTAAAAAAAGAAAAAAAAAAAACAAGAAAAGAGGTTTCATAGGCTCGTGGTTCTGCAGACTTTACAGGAAGCATGAAGCTGGCATCTGTTTCTGGTGAGATCCTCAGGAAACTTGTACCTGTGATGGAAGGTGAAGTGGGAACAGGCATATCACATGGTAAGAGTAGGAGCAAGAGAGAGGAGGGAGGTGTGATACTCTTTTAAACAACCAGATCTCTCTCAGGTAAGCTCACTCATCACCAAGGGGACAGCACTAAGCTCTTCATCAGGGATACACCCACCATGATCCAAACACCTCACTCCAGGCCCCTCTTCCAACTCTGTCATCACATTTCTACATGAGAATTTGAGAGGACACATATCCAAACCATATCAATAGATCTTTCTGTCTTTTGCAGTATAACTCACATTTTCTCCACACAAATCACATTTAAATTTTATACACAACCTAAAAAACATATAGAGCAGTTTTTTCCAAATCTATATCATATATTAGTTCCTAGGTGTCTTGATATATGTTACTAGGGAGTGTTGTGACACCTAGAAATTCCACATAGGGAGAATAAGTGAGGATAGTCAAATTGCCAGAGTTATAGCATTAACTCTCAATTTCTGGTTTGCCTTTGACATTAGTAGGGTAGAAGTATAAACTTTTGAAATATGAAAGATGGTAAAATATGAAGATAACTTTATACAGACAGCAATGTGAGAAGATGTCATGTACCACATAAGTCAGGTTACAGGGAGGGACATTCTACCATGAACAAGGAGATGTGAGATTGGTGATTGCAGCATCTGAAGCAATGGCCCAAGCTGTACCTTGGCCCCTTTTAGCCACAGCTGGAGCTGCAGCGGCCACAATGCAGGGTACCATGTCCTAACGCTGCACAGAGCAGGGGGGCACCGGGCTGGCCATGAAACCATTTTTTCCCTCCTAGGCTTCCAGCCCTGCGGTGGGAGGGGCTGCCACAAAGGTCTCTGAAATGCCCTGGAGGCGTTTTCTCCATTTACTTGTTCATTTCACATACCTGAACTCTGCCACCATGGTATGCTTAAAATTGTCACCAATCTCATACCCTGGCAATTTATTCACTCACTTATGAAAGTTGAATTTAACTGATGTTCTAAACATCTGTGTGCAGCAGTGTGGTATGCATTACTGACGCACAAATATGACAGAGCTCAAAACCTCATCAGGAGAGGATAAGCGAACAATGACACAACAATGAGAAAAATGAAACTCAATTTGCCTCTAGTAATTCAAGTAAACGCAAGGCAAGATCTTGTGGTCTATGGCAAAGCTTATGTTATTTTGTTAACATTTTATTTCTCATACCGTTCATCATCACCAACTTTTACCCTCCTTTCTTTATCTTCTTCATCCAGAAAAAAATTAAAAGTTTATATATCAGTGAATATGACTTAATCCCAGGTCCTTGTGCTCCCACAACACTATATAATGAGCCTCTAGAAACTTCCATTTAAAGTATATGATTTTTTCCCTTCTTTCTTTTTTCTTTTACTATTAAATTTAAAAAGTTTTATAATACAATTAAATATGTATAAAATGCTTTATGGAATTGTGAAGAGCTGGGCAGGGTTATTATGTTTTAAGAAAGGCGAGGGGATAGGAAGAGTAGCAGAAACTAGGGTAAGAGGTGCAACCAGAAGATGCTGTCTTCGACAGGGATTTTTTATCGAGTCCTTGGACAGCTATGTTTCAACCCTGAGGTAATGGTCTTCTGAGACTAGAAGAAGGTTATAAAACAATGAGAGAGAGAGTTAAAGAAAGTAAGCTAGGGTCACAAAATAGGGAGGGCCTTGCACAAGCCAAATGCTTTACCTAAAGTATTTAATTTTATTTTCTAACTATTGAATGATAATATTAAATCTGTTTCGCAGCTAATAAAAATTATTTAAGCAAAGAAGCAAACCCTCAAAATAACACAGTGGTAAGTGATGGAAGTGATATTCAAGCCCAACTCTGACCCTCTGCTTTGTTCAGCTTGCAGCCAATGCTGCTCAGGTTCAATATAATGGATACAGGGGCTCCCTGGTACTTAAATCATTTGATGTATTTGTGCTTCGGCTCACCAATTCTTCAACATATAGTGATATACACATCTATGTTCTCTCACTGTTAGGTCTACCCTCCACAGAACTAGAAGGCTCTCTAGTATGCACAGTAAAAGAGTAAACGATACACAGGATTTGGCATATTTAAGCCCTGACTTCAGCACTACATCCTTGGATATCTTTGATATAATATGAGAATAGTATTTCACCCCTGATTAGAATCTCTAAACTTTTTTTTTTTTTTTTTTGAGACGGAGTCTGGCTGTGCTGCCCGTGCTGGAGTGCAGTGGCGCGATCTCGGCTCCCTGCAAGCTCCGCCTCCTGGGTTCTGGCCATTCTCCTGCCTCAGCCTCCCGAGTAGCTGGGACTACAGGTGCCCGCCACCACGCCTGGCTAATTTTTCTATTTTTAGTAGAGACGGAGTTTCACCATGTTAGCCAGGATGGTCTCGATCTCCTGACCTTGTGATCCGCCTGCCTTGGCCTCCCAAAGTGCTGGGATTACAGGCATGAGCCACCGCGCCCGGCCTAGAATCTCTCAACTCTTAATCATCCTTCAATTCTCAGATGATGTCTCCTTTGGTGAACATTTTACTTATATGATCTCTCTTTTCTAATCCTGATGGAGTTGATTAAATCTCTTATGAGCTACATCTGTATTCTGGCATACATGTATTGTTGAACGCATTGTTCTTCTTTTGCATCTGTCTTTCCTTATATTGGACACGCTTTAGGAAAATATCTCTGTCTTTCCACAAGAGTCCTCAAATTACATTGACATGGAGTAACACCACTGTTATGAAAGTTATTCACTGGCTATTGGAGAACGTCAGAATGAAGATACCAACTGTCCTACTACCAAAAGACTGTCTTTCATTATTAAATCACGGTAAAATGAAAGATAATTGCACTTATCTTATGTCTTATTTAGCAACATTCTTTGAAAGTTACCAAATTTATGACTGTATTTTATAAGTTTTATTTTAATCTATAACATCCAATTTCTTAGTGACATCAGTGGATTAGAAGCTACTTGGGTTTAAATCCTACTCCTACTCCTCACAGCATCTTATTGTGTGTGTTTGAGAAAAGCATAATTTACCTAAACTTCAGTTTTCTTGCATAAATAATACTACTGTTAAAATAAGAAACATATAGCATCTGGAAGAAAATAAATTATAAGTAAATTACCTATTTTTTTCATACTTCTAGAACCAAGTAATTGTGTCTGATACATGATGAAGTAAAATAGAAATGTTTGAATTGCGTTTATATTCTGTGAGAATAAAGTGAAAGAAGATAAATTTGTTGTGGTAAAATATACAATGTTAAGAAGTTAACATACTTTACAACTCACTCAGCTTTTCTTTTATCTTACTTAGAGTCTAGATGTTTATGATATATGTCCAGTCCATATTCAGGCTCCTTTACATTCAAAGCCTGTGAACAAAAATGATGAGTTGACAAACCCATTGAAATTCTGCAAGATTATTTTATAAAACAACAAAGTGCCTAATTTAAGAAACAGACAAGCAGTTAGACCACTGCTAGGATAATGTGGCAAATGGACTTTATGTTTAAAGCAAAAATTCAGAGGGCCTTTCTCATGCTTTCAATCAGTAGTCTGATAGAATTCACTCTCAACCATCATATTTGTTCTATCTTTTTAACATAAGTTGAGGAAAAATATAAAGTAAAAAATAACAAAACTGCTGGAGTCATCTTGAGTACACCTCAGACCCTCATCAATTAATAAAAGATGCGCGAAAAAAAATTTGGTGGTCAGTAAGCAAGTGAACAGGTGGAGCAATGAACCTACTTGAAATCAAGGTTTTATTTAATGATGGCCCCTTGGGTTGGTAGTAGAAACAAATCATGTCTTTCTGCAAAGAATGATCTCATCCAGCAAGTTACTGATGTGCTATTTATATTTGGCAGCAGGTTGAATTTTCTAATAATTCTAAAACTAAAGAAAAAAGAGAGTTGCTGATAATCTGTATAATAGATAATAATTAGGAATATATCATTGTAACAAAATTTATATAGCTCCAGCTCTTTCTTCCCACAAATATTTGGATAAAATAGGCTTGGAGAAGTACCTAAAGTTAACATAAGTCCAGAAAAAAAAAAAGAAGAAACTACTTATACAACACATGGTCATCCATTATCTTCTAAAATATTCATACGTGCACATAATATTATTACATTAATAACATCAAAGCAGGCAAAAATGTATGTAAGAAATATCAGACTGTCATCCACAACAATATTATGTATGAGGTTATATAATAAATTTCTTCACAAAATATTTTTATATGTATTCTATACATATATACATAGATAGGTACAGATGTGTTGTTTTTAAATTTAATAATTTTAAATGTAAAATTTGGCTTTTGTCTACTCAGCATCCTATATTCCATCAATGTATCAAAATCTACTTAACCAGTTCACAACTGGTACACATATAGGTGATTTTCTTGCTTTCTTCTTCTTAAATTATATTGGTTTCTCTCTAGCTCTGATCATCCAATCCTTATTGTTCTCTAAATAAAATGAATATAATATTCTCTAGATGGTTATTCATGTTTTAGAATCTAGTGATTGATAAAACCTACGTAATATCAGAGTTAACTTAAAGTTTGGTTTTGGAGACGTGTGTATCTGTGTAATTTGCAAACCTCCGTTGTTTGAATTTTAAAACATAAACAATACCTCTGCCTTAAAACTCCGCCCCCAGAAATCAGAGTCTCTGTATATCAGTTGTACATTACACAGTTAACCAAATATCGGTCATAGTCTCTTGATGTCATTCTCATAGGGGATTTTGATTCCTCTAATATTTTCACCAGTGAATTATCCTATCACCAAAAGTATAATAGAAATATCAAATAAGCTTCAATTCGTGTTTTTTTTTTTTTAGGACAGGCATAAAGAAACAATGATAGAAAAATATTTGTTCTTTGATATCAAACAACTTGTAATGTTTGGAGAATGATTCGTTCTCTCAACATAGATTTGATATTAAATGGAATTAGGCAATACGTAGCTGTCTAGTATCAAAAAAGCAGCCATCGTCTCAGTGGTCTCTACAGTTGGCTCAGTTCATCTTGTAGTCTAGATTTTTATTTGTTTCATTTTGGTTCTACTTAAGTGATCTCTACCCTGACAGATACACAAATACATTTTAATTTTATTGGGCCCAGTGCTGTATAAGAAGTAGTTAGAGCAGCACAAAAACTTTTGTAATTAACTGATAAATAGTGTAAAAAATAAAATAGTCAAAACTGTTTAACTGGAGAAAGTGAGATTAGAGTGGAAGTGTGAAGAATGAGAACTGTGTACACAGTAATATTTAGAAGATGAAGGGTTTCCCTTCTTCCTTTCCCTGCCCACATTTGGGGAAAAAAGTTAATTTGATTTATGACTCCAATTTACAGATTTTAGGAACACATGTAGGCTATATTTATTGATTTGTATGTTGGGGAGGTGGCATCAGAGGATCCATTTGTCTCTATGAAATAGCAACAATAAGCTGAACAAAGGTTCCTTCGGGCCTGAGAATTTATGTATGTCCTTTGGTGTTTATTTGTTTCTTACTTTCTTTGTTTTGAACCACATTTATCCAAATGTGTAGTGTGTATGTATCTTCATCTCTATTTAATGCTCTTATGCACTTGAGTCAGACAGAGGAAGATGAAGCCTCAATATCTGTAATTCACCGAGAGAAAAAGAGAGGGCCTATTAGCCCTTTCAAAATTTATTTTTTAATGGACAAATAATAATTCTGTACATTTATGAGATACAGTGTGTGTTTTGATCTATGTTTACATTGTAGAAATATTCAATCAAGATAATTAACATATCCATTGCCTTACAAATTTATTTTTTTTGTAGTGGGAATGTTAAAATCTATTATTTTAGCAATTTTGAAATATACATTAGGTACAATGCTTAGTAGCTGGGTGACAGGATCATTCGTACCCCAAACCTCAGCATCACGCAATATACCTAGATGACAAATCTGCATGTATATCCCCTGAATTTAAAATAAAAGTTGAACAGAAAAATAAATAAATATACAATACATTATTATCAACTGCGGTCACCATGCAGTGCAATAGATCACTAACAATTTTTCCTCTAGTCTAAGTGAAACTTTGTGCTCTTTGATCAATATCTCTTCTGTCCCCATCCCTTTTCCCCACCCCAGCCTCAGGTAATATTCTTTCTATTTCTTTTTTCTTTTCTTTTTTATATACTTTAAGTACTGGGATACATGTGCAGAATGTGCAGGTTTGTTACATAGGTATACATGTGCCAAGGTGGTTTGCTGCACCCATCAACCCGTCATCTACATTAGGTATTTCTCCTAATGCAGTCCCTCCCGTTGGCCCCAACCCCAGGCCCCAGTATGTGATGTTCCCTTCCGTGTACCCATATGTTCTCATTGTTCAACTCTCACTTTAGAGTGAGAACATGTGGTATTTGGTTTTCTGTTCTTGTGTTAGTTTGCTGAGAATGATGGTTTCCAGCTTCATCCATGTCCTGCAAAGGACCAGAACTCATTCTTTTTTATGGCTGCATAGTATTTCATGATGTATATGTGCCACATTTTTTTTTATCCAGTCTATCATGGATGGGCATTTGAGTTGCTTCCAAGTCTTTGCTATTGTGAATAGTGCTGCAATAAACATACATGTGCATGTGTTTTTATAGTAGAACGACTTATAATCCTTTGCGTATATACCCAGTAATGGGATTGCTGGGTCAAATGATATTTCTAGTTCTAGATACTTGAGGAATCGCCATACTGTCTTCCACAATGGTTGAACTAATTTACACTGCCACCATAGTGTAAAAGCGTTCCTATTTCTCCACATCCTTTCCAGCATCTGTTTTTTCCTGATTTTTTCATGATCGCCATTATAACTGGCATGAGATGGTATCTCATTGTGGTTTTGATTTGCATTTCCGTAATGACCAGTGATGATGAGCTTTTTTTCATATGTTTGTTGCCTGCATAAATGTCTTATTTTGAGAAGCATCTGTTCATATCTTGTCCGCTTTTCAATGGGATTTTTATTTTCTTGTAAATTTGTTTAAGTTCCTTGTAGATTCTAGATATTAGATCTTTGTCAGATGGGTAGATTGCAAAAATTTTCTCTGATTCTGTAGTTTGCCTGTGCACTCTGATAACAGTTTCTTTTGCTGTGCAGAAGCTCTTTAGTTTAATTAGATCCCATTTGTCAATTTTGGCTTTTGTTGCAATTTATAGATTCAATCCTATTCCCATCAAGCTATCATTGATCTTCTTCACAGAACTAGATAAAACTAACTTAAATTTCATATGGAACCGAAAAAGAGCCCATATAGCCAAGACAATCCTAAGCAAAAAGAACAAAGCTGGAGGCATTATGCTACCTGACTTCAAACTACACTACAAGCCTACAGTAACCAAAACAGCATGGTACTGGTACCAAAACAGATATATAAACCAATGGAACAGAACAGAGGCCTCAGAAATAATATCACACATCTACAGCCATCTGATCTTTGACAAACCTGACAAAAACAAGCAACAGGGAAAGGATTCCCTATTTAATAAATGGTGTTGATGCAAGAAACTGGAACTGGTTCCCTTCCTTACACCTTATATGAAAATTAACCCAAGATGGGTTAGAGATTTAAATGTAAGGCCTAAAACCATAAAAACCCTAGAAGAAAACCCTTTTGTCTCTTTTTAAAAAATTATTTTGATACATGTATGGGGAACAAGTGTAGTTGCACTACATGGATATACTGCATAGTGATGAAGTCTGTGCTTTTAGTGCACCCATCACTCGAATAGTGAACATTGTAACCAGTAGGTAGTATTTTAGTATTTCAACTCTCACTCCCTCCTATCCTCCCACATCTTAGATTCTTTTATATCTTTGGTGTGATTTGGATCTGTGTCCCCACACAAATCTCATGTTGAATTGTAATCTCCAATGTTGAAAGTCGGGCCTGGTGCTGGTAATCGGATCATGGGGGTGGATTTCTCATGCATAGTTTAGCACCATCCACCTTGGTACTATCCTTGCAATAGTGAGTGAGTTCTCATGAGATCTGGTTGTTTAAAAGTGTGTAGCACCTACCCGCTTACTCTCTGATTCCTGCTTTCATCATGTGACCTGCCTTCTCCCCCTTTGACTTCCGCAGTAATTTTAAGCTTCCTGAGTCCTCCCCAGAAGTAGATACCACTAGGCTTCCTGTACGGGCTGCAGAACTGTGAGCCAGTGAAACCTCTTTTCTTTATAAGTTACCCAATCTCAATTATTTCTTTATGGCAATACGAGAATGGCCTAATACAGCCTTTATTTCACTCTGTATTTCTATGTTTAGCCATTGTTCTTATAAGTGAGAATATATAATTTTTGACTTTCTATTTCTGACTCCTTTCACTTATTGCCTCCATTTCCATCCATGTTGCTGCAAAAGACATATTTCATTCTTTGTATGCCTGAGTTGTATCTGTGGTATATATATAAAACACATTTTCTTTATCCAGTCATCCATTGATGGCCACTTAGGTTAATTCCATGACTTCACTGTTGTGCATAGTGCTGTGATAAACATACAATTTCAGGTGTCTTTTTAATATTAATATAATGATTTCTTTCAGGTGGATACCTAGTAGGGGGATTACTGGATTGAATGATAGTTATATTTTTAGCTATTTGAGAAATCTGCACAGTTTTCCCTGGACATTGTACCAATTTACATTCTCATCAACCATGTATCTGTTCCCTTTTCTCCGCATCCTTACCAATATCTGTTGTTTTTTCTTTTTAGTAATAGCTATTCTGACCGGTGTAAAAAAAAATTATCTCCTTTTTGTTTCAGTTCGCATTTTTCTGATGATTCTGGATGTTGAGGCTTTTTAAAATTTTTGTCGGCTGCTTATACGACTAATTTTGAAAAATGTCTGTTCATGCCCTTTGCCCTCTTTTTGATGGGATTGTTTTCTCTTGTTGAGTGTTTTGAGGTTCTTGCAAATTCTGGATACTATTTCTTTGTCAGATGCATTATTTGAAAATATTTTCTCCCATTATTGAGGTTGTCTATGTACTCCATTGTTCATTTCTTTTGCTGTACAGTTTAATTAAATTCCTTTTGTCTCCTTTGTTGTATTTGCATTTGAGGACTTAGTCATAAATTATTTGCCTAAGCCAATGTCCAGAATAATTTTCCCTAGGTTTTCTTCTAGGATTTTTATAGTTTAAGTGTTTAATCTATCATGAGCTAATTTTTGTAGATGGTGAGATATCTGGGTCCAGTTTTATTCTTCTGGATATGGCTATTTAATTTTCCTAGCACCATTTATTGAATAGGGAGCTCTTTACCTGGTGTACTTTTTTGTTGACTTTGTCAAGGATCAATTGGTTGTAGGAATGTGGCTGTATTTCTGGGTTGTCTATGCTGTTCCATGAATCTATGTGTGTATTTATTTATTTATTTTTTTACCATCAACTGCTATTTTGTTTACTATAGCCTTGTAGTGTAATTTGAAGTCAGGTAATGTGATTCATTGAGCTTTATTATTTTTTTTGCTTAGGATTGTTCTGGCTATTCAGGCTTTTTTTCATTTCATACAAATTTTAGAATTTTTTTCTAATTCTGTGAAAAATTATGTTGGTAATTTAATGGGAATTGCATTGAATTTATAGATTGTCTTGGGCAGTATGATCATTTTAACAATATTGATTCTTCTGATCCATGAGCATGGAATATCTTTCCAGTTGTTTGTGTCATCTATGATTTCTTTCATCAATGTTTTGTAGTTCTCCTTGTAGCGATCTTTCACCTCCTTGACTAACTATTTCCTGGTATTTTCTTATTTTTTAATCTGTTGTAAAGATGATAGAGTTCTTGATTTGATTCTCTGTTTGATTGTTATTGGTGTATAGAAATCCTACTGATTTCTGTACATTGATTTTGTATCCTGAAACTTTACTGCAGTCATTTATTAAGTCTAGGAGTCTTTTGGAGGAGTCTTTAGGGTTTCGTGGAGATAACATTATATTATCAGTGAACAGAAATAATTTACCTTCCTCTTTTTCAGTGTAGCTGACTTTTTTTTTTTCTTGCCTGATTGCTCTAGTCAGGACTTCTAGTACTATGTTAACTAGGAGTAGTGAGAGTGGGCACCCTTGTCTTATTCGAGTTGTAAGATGGCATGCCTTCAACTTCTTCCCATTCAGTACAATGTTGGTTGTGAGTTTATCATATATGGTTTTTATTATTTTCAGAAATATCTTTTTATTCCTAGTTTGTTGAAGGTCTTTATCAGGAAGGGATGGTGAATTTTATCAAATTCTCTTTCTGCATCTATTGAGATTATATAGTTCTAGTTTTTAATTTTGTTTATGTGGTGAATCACATTTATTGATTTGCACGTGTTGAGCCATCCTTGAATCCTTGGAATAAAACCCACATGATCACAGTGTATGATTTTTTCATATGGTGTTACATTTGGCTTGCTAGTGTTTTGTTGGGAATTTTTGCATCTATGTTCATCAGGGATATTGGTTTATAGTTTTTTGTTGCTGTTGTTGTTGCCGTTGTATCCTTGCCTGGCATTGGTATCAGGGTGATACTGACTTAAAAGAATGAGTTAGGGATGATTCCCTCCTCCTTGATATTTTGGAACAGTTTCAGTAGGCTCAGTATCAGTTCTTCCTTGTTTGTCCGATAAAATTTAGCTGTGAATCAATGTGGTTCTGGGCTTTTTTGTTGTTGTTGATAAATTTTTTTTATTACTGAATCTATTTCACTTCTCATGGCTGGTCTGTTCCGAATTTTTTTTTCCTGGTTCAATCTTGGGTGTTCGTATGTTTCCAACAACTAATTTATATCCTCTAGGGTTTCTAGTTTGTGTGTGTAGAAATGCTCATAGTGGTTTCTGATGATTTTTAGTATTTCTATGGCTTCAGTTATAATGTAATCTTTATCACTTCTGATTATGCTTATTTGAATCTTCTCTCTTTTTTTTGTTAACCTAGCTAATGGTCTGTCAATTTTCTTAATTTTTTCAAAGAACTAACTTTTTGAATCATTGATTCTTTGTATATTTTTTAAATCTGAATTTCATTTAGTTCAGCTCTGATCCATGTCATTTCTTTTTACCTGATAAGATTGGATTTGGTTTGTTCTTGTTTTTCTATTTCCTTCAGGTGCAATATGAGCTTGTTAATTTAAGATCTTTCTATCCATTTGATAGAATTTAACACTAGCATTTAACACTATTAACTTCTCTTTTAAGAGTATTTTTACTATATCCTAAGCTTTTAATATGCTGTTTCTCTATTTTCATTTTTTAAAATAATTTTTAAGTTTCCATTTTAATATCATTGTTGACCCTATAATTATTCAGGAGCAAGTTGTTTAAATTCCATGTATTTGTATAAGTTGAGAGTTCTTCTTGGTATTGTTTTTTAGTTTTAGTCCACTGTGGTCAAAGAAGATATTTGATATGATTTTGAGTTTCTTAAAATGTATTAAGACTTGCTTTGTGGCTTGTCATGTGGTCTCTTTTAGAGAATGTTTCATGTGCAGAAGCAAAGAATGTATATTCTGTGGTGGTTGGGTAGAATGTTCTTTAAATGTCTATTAGGCCCCCTTAATCTAGAGCTCAATTTATGTCCAGAGTCTGTTGATTTTCTGCCTCACAATATGTCTTGTGCTGTCAGTGGGATATTAAAATCCTACACTATGGTATAGCTGTCTGCCTTTTTTCTTAAATCTAGTAGTATTTGTTTTATGAATTTTGGTGCTCTGGTATAGGATGAATATATTTTTAGAATTGTTACATATTCTTGTTGAAATAATCACTTTATCATTAAATAATTACAGTCTTTGCAAGATTTTTTTTACTGTTTTTGATTTAATGTTCATTTTATGAGATGTAAGTATAGGTACTCCTGCTCACTTTTGGTTCCCGTTTGCATGGAGTATATTTTCCCATCCCGTTATTTTGAGGCCGTAAATGCCTTTACCAGTTAGATAAGTTTCTTTTATGCAGTATATGTCTGTGTCTTGCTATTTTAACTTAATTTGCCAGTCTATATCTTTTAAGTGGAACCTTTCATACATTTACATTAAAGGTTAATATTTATATGCGAAATTTTGTTCCTGTCATAATGTTAATTGTTACATAGCTGATTTGCAGGCTCAATTTTATAAATGTATTGAAAGTCATGAGAGTTTTATACTTTCATGTTTTTTTATGATAGCATCAATCTTTTCTATGTTAGGAAATTTTTGAACATTTCTTGTAAGTTTTGTCTAGTGATGATGAATTCCCTTAGTGTTTGTCTGGAAAAAATTTTGGTTCTACTTCATTTATGAAATTTAGTTTAGCAGGATTTAAAATTCTTGGCTGAAATGTGTTTTTAAGAAGACTGAAAATAGGACCCCAATCTCTCTTGCTTGTAAGATTTCTTTTGAAAAGTTCATGTTTTGTCTGATGGGATTTCCTTTATAAATGGATGCTTCTCTTTGGCTGCTTTTAGTACTTTTTCCTTCATGTTGACTTTAGATAGTCTGATGACTATATGCCATGGTGACATTCATTTTGCAATATATGTTCCAGAAGTTTTCTGAGCTTCTTATATATGGATTTCTAAACCTCTAGCAAGAGCAGGGATATTTTCCTGAATGATTTCCTCAAATAGGTTTCCCATACTTTTTTACTTTTTCTTATTCTCCCTCTGAAATACATATAACTTGTTAAGTTTGGACACTTTACATAATCCCCTATTTTATAAAGATTTTATTTTTTAATATTAATAACAATTTTTTTGAGATGGTGGTCTCACTCTGTTGCCCAGGCTGGAGTGCAGTGGCATGATCATAGCTCACTGCAGCCTCATCCTCTCCAGGCACAAGTGATCCTCCCACCTCAGTCTCCTGGGTAGCTGGTACTACAGGTGCATGCCAACATGCCTGGCCAATATTTTTTGTATTTTTTGTAAAGAAGGGATTTCATTATGTTTCCCAAGTCAGTCTCAAACTCTTGGGCTCAAGGGATCCACCAGCCTCAACCTCCCAAATTGCAAAGATTAAAGGCACGAGTCATCATACCCATCATTCATCATTATTTTTTCTTTATTTTTGTTTGATATGGCTAGTTCAAAAGATCTGCCTTCTACTTCTAAAATTGTTTCTTCTGCTTGGCCTAGCTTATTCTTAAGGCTTTTAATTGTGTTTTTAACCCTTTCAAAACATTTTTGTATTTCCAGAAATTCTGGTTTTATAAAATACCTATCTCTTTAGTAAGTTTTTCATTTATATCCTGAATTGTTTTTCAGATTTGTGTTAGTTTTTAACTTTCTCTTGGATTTCTTTGATCGTCTTTGCAATTTATATTTTGAATTCTTTGTCACTTCAGAAGTTTCATTTTGATTAGGATCCACTGCTAGAAAGCTAGTTTGATCCTGTGGGGGTATCATAATCCTGTGTTTGCATATTACCAGTGTTCTTAAGCTGCTTTCTTCTCATCTGGAGAGCTTTCACTTTTTATCTTTGAATTTACTTTGGTGTTATGAGACTTTTCTTTTCCCTCTTGAGGGTATGACTTATATATGTTGTCTATGGCCATTTGGCTTCAATTCTAGGTGCTTTCAGGGGGCTAAGGCTCTGTATGAATTCTTCGGTTATAGATAGCCTATGTGCAGTGGCTTTCTCAAATGCAGGTTGTAGTACCAACGTATTGGGCATATGAGCGGTCTCACTGCCCTCTGCGGGACTAGAATTGTGAAGGTCTCAGGAAATTTATCTTGTTGCTCTGCATTGTGCACTTCTGTCAGCAGGTTTTGTATGGAGTTGTGCAGTTCTACCTCCAGGTCAGTAGATGGTGCCTATGGGTAAGGGCCACCTGCAGTGGAGGCACATGTGTATGTACTCGATCTTTGTTTACCAGGAGATGCTCTGTGGTTTCAGGTGATAGGCGGGTTTATGGATGGCCTGGTTCCCTGAGTTTCCCACCCAGCCTCTGAAAGTGGGGACAAATTTGGGTGGGGCTGGACTGCCAACATCACCCATGGATACCCCAGTGATAAATGCAGGCAACAGCCCTATAGGAGTGGCAGGGGCTCTACTCTTAGAATGCATGTGGTCTCCACAAGATTAAAGGGGGATGCACTAGTTCCACATCCTAGGCAAACAGAAACTCAATACGTTTTCCTATCACATCCCTATCCTGGGGCTCCTGACTTTCAGTTCAGCCAGACACTCATCTATTTCCAGGTCACAATTTAGCTGAGAAGTGTGGAAAACACATAAAAGTGGCTTTGAGGCAGAAGCCCTTACCTCAGCCCCAAACAGCTTAGTGGTTTGCCTGAAATAATCACTCAGACTAGTATTATGAATCTTCTCCTATGTTTTCTTCTAGTAGTTTTACAATTTCAGGTCTTATTTTTTAAATCTTTAATTCATTTAGAATTGAGTTTTGTATATCATATGAGATAAGGCACACTTTCATTATTCTGTATGCAGACATCTGGTTTTCCCAGAGCCATTTATTTAAGTGATTGCCTTTTCCCAGTCTGTCTTCTTGGCACCTTTGTTGAAAATCAATTGACCATAAATACTTAAGTTTATTGTTGGGATTTTATCCTATTCCATTATTTGATATGCCTGTTTTTATGACATTATCATACTGTTTTGATTAAAAATAGCTTTGTAATTTGTTTTGAAATCAGGCAGTGTGATGTCTCCAGTTCTGTTCTTTTTTTCAAGGTGGCTTTGGCTATTCAGGGTCTTTTGTGGTTCCACTCATATTTTAGGAAGTTTTTTTTCAGCCGGGCACAGTGGCTCACTTCTGTAATCTTAGCATTTTGGGAGGCCGAGGCGGGCGGATCACGAGGTCAGGAGATTGAGACCATCCTGGCTAACATGGTGAAACTGCATCTCTACTAAAAATACAAAACCAAAATTAGCTGGGCTTGGTGGCAGGTGCCTGTAGTACCAGATACTAGGGAGGCTGAGGTGGGAGAATGGCATGAACCCCGGAGGCGGAGCTTGCAGTGAGTCGAGATCGTGCCACTGCACTCCAGCCTGGGCGACAGAGCGAGACTCTGTCTCAAAAAAAAAAAAAAAGAAAGTTTTTTTCTATTTATATGAAAAATGGCATTGGAATTTTCATACAGATTATATTAAATTTGTAGATTGCTTTGGGTGGTATGAAAATTTTAACAATATTAATCCTTTAATCAGTGAACGTATCTTTTTATTTGTGTCTTCAATTTTTTTATCTGTGTATTAAAGTTTTCAGTGTACAGATCTTTTACTTCCTTGATTAAATTTATTCCTATTTTATTTTTGATTTAATGTAAATGAGATTGTTTTCTTAATTTTTTTAACATAGTTTGTTATTAGTACATAGAAATCCTACTAATTTGGGTATGTTGATTTTTTTTACCTGCAACTTTACTAAATCTGTTTTTCAGTTCTAAGACTTTTTAACGGTTTTCTATACATAATATAATGCTGTTCACAAACAAATAATTTCACTTATTCCTTTTCTATTTCAATGTCTTGAGCTTCTTTTTATTTCTTAGTTTCTCTGGCTAGGACTTTCAGTACTACGTTGAATAGAAGTGGTGAGACTCAAGATTCTTGTCTTCTTCCTATTGTAGAGAAAAAACTTTCATATAATGATGTTAAGTCATATATGTCTTTCTTGAGTCGTGATACGTGACTTCTATACCTATATTTTGAGAGTTGTTAAAACTTATAAAGAGATGTTGAATCTTAGTAAACACCTTTTCTGCATCTATTGAGATGATCATGTGGCTTTTGTCTTTCATTTTGTTAATGTAGTCTATCAGATTTATCAATTTAAATATGTTGAAACATCCTTGCATCCCTAAGGTAACTCCCACTTGATAATAATGATTAACCTTTTAATGTGCTATTGGTTGTGGTTTGCTAGTACTTTGTCAAGGTTTTATGCATCTATGCTCATCATGAATATTGACCTGTAGTTTTATTTTCTTTTATCCCCTTGTCCAGCTTTGATATCAGGATAAGTCTGGTCTCATAAAATGAATTCGAAAATATTTTCCCTTTTTCAATTTCCTGGAAAAGTTGAAGAGGATTGGTATTACTCTTTCTTGAAATATTTGGTAGAATTTTACAGCAAAGCCATCAGGTACTGGAATGGAAGACTTTATTACTGATTCAATCTCCATACTTGCTTTTCGGGCTGTTGATATTTGCCATTTTTCTTCTGATCAATCTTGATATATTGTATTTTTCTAGCTATTCATCCACTTATTCTAGTTATCCAATTTGTTGGTGTGTTATTGTTCATAGCTGTCTCTTAAAATCCTTTGTATTTCTAAGGTGGCAGTTATAATGTCTACTCTTTCATTTCTGAGTTTGTTGACTTGAGTCTTCTCCCTTTTTATCTAGCTAATGCTTGTCAGTTTCGTTTGTCTTTTCTTAAAAAAAACTCAGTTTCATTGATCTTTTCAATTATTTTTTCTAGTCTCTATTTTATTTATTTCTACTCTGATCTTTGTTGTTTTCTTTCTCCTGCTAAGTTTGGACTTAGTTTTTTCTTGGTTCCTTGAAGTGTAATGTTAGGTGATTTGAGGTAGTCTTTCTTTTTTGATGTAAGTGTTATTGCTATAAACTTTTCTCTCAGAACTGCTTTTTCTGTATCTCATAAGTTTTGGATTCTTTTCTTTATTTTTGTTGCTCTCAAGATTTTTTTTAATTTAACAGAATTCCTTTTTGATCTATTAATTGTTCTGGACTTCCAGATATTTGTGAGTTCCTCAAGATTCCTCCTGTTACTGATCTCTAGCTTCATGCCATTGTGGTTAGAAAAGATACTTTATAGTGAGAGGTGAAGCCAGCAGGACTTCCTGGGTCTAGTGGGGACTTCGAGAACTTTTTTGTCTTACAAGAGGATTGTAAAATGCACCAATCAGAGTGCTGTAGCTAAGATTGTAAAATGCACCAATCAGCACTCTGTAGTTAGCAAGGGGATTGTAAAATGCACCAATCAGCACTCTGTAAAATGCACCAATCAGCAGGATCCTAAAAGTAGCCAGTTGCAGGGAGGATTGAAAAAGGGACACTCTGATAGGACAAAAACGGAACATGGGAGGGGACAAATAAGGGAATAAAAGCTGGCCACCCCAGCCAGCAGTGGCAACCGGCTCGGGTACCATTCCACGGTGTGGAAGTTTTGTCCTTTAATTCTTCACAATAAATCTTGCTGCTGCTCACTCTTTGGGACTGTGCCATCTTTAAGAGCTGTAACACTCACCAGAAAGGTCTGCAGCTCCATTCTTGAAGTCAGCAAGCCCACAAACCCACTGGAAGGAACCATCTCCCGACACAATAGGATTTCAGTCTTCTTAAGTTTGTTAAGATTTGTTTTATGTCCTAAACATAGGATTTATCCTGGAGAATGTTCCATTGACAGGAATGCATTCTGTTGCAGATAGATGAATGTTCTTTAAATATCTGTTAGGTTAATTTGCTTTAAAATGTAGTTCAAGTCTAATATTAAAGAAGTTTTTTTTTTTTTTGTCTAGATGATCTGTTCAATGAAATATTTGTCATTATATAATGGTCTTTAGTGTCTCTTTTTCTATTTTTAACTTTAAAGTCTATATTATCTAACCCTAAGCTACCCATGCTGTAAATGGTTTTTATTTGCCTAAAATAACTTTATTATTTATTTTTATTCTATATGCTTCCTTAAATGTGACGTGATTTTCTTGTAGGCAGCATATGATTGGGTCTGTTAAATATTTAGCAACTCAATCTCTTTTGATTTGAGAATTTAATCTATTTATAGTCAAAAGTGATTATTGAGAGATAAGAACTTACTACTGCTCTATCTTTAATTGCTATTTCTTTAAATTAAATTTCTTTAATTACTATTTCTTTAAATTTCTTTCTGATTAATTGCAGATTCTTTGTTTCTATCTTCCTCTCTTGCTGTCTTCTTTTTTGACTTGATGGTTTTCTGTGGTGGTGTGCTTTGAATCTTTTCATCTTTTGTGTATCTCTTAAGCATTCTTACTTTAAGCATTCTTACTCTTAAGCACTCTTACTTTAAGCATTCTTATAAGGCTTACACAAAAAAATCTTATACTAATAGGCTATTTTAAGCTGATAATAACTTTGATCACTTGCACAAACTACAATTTTACTTCCCCACTATAACTTATGTTTTTATATCAAATTATACATCTTTTATAACCTGTTTTTTAATAAATCATTATATATAATTGTTAATAGTAATGCCATTTTTCCTTAATACTAGAGATTTAGTTAACTTTCACATTACTGTTACTGTATTAGAGCTGAGTTTGACTATGTACTTATTTTTACCAGTGAATTTTCTATTTTTATATTGCTACTTAACAACATTGTCTTCAACTTGAAGAATTCCCTTTAGCATCTCTCATAAGGTGGGTCTAGTGGTGATAAATTCCCTCAGCTTTCATTTGCTTGAGAAAGTTTTTAATCTCCTTTGTTTCTGAAGGAGAGGATTGCTGGACAGAATTCTTGGTTGATGTTTTTTTTTCTTTCTGCTTATATATACATACGTATATATGTGTGTGTACATGTTTATATATATAAACAGAACCTTCTGTTCTTTTTTGGTGGGCAACAATTTTCTGCCAAAAATTCTACTAATACTCTAATGGAGGTTCTCTTATATATAACAAGTTACCTTTCCCTGGCAGTGTTCAGTATTTTCTCTTTGTCTTTAACTTTTGGCAATTTGATTATAATGTGTCCTGGTGTAGGTCTCTTTGTTTTTATCCTATTCAATGTCAATTGAGGTTCCTGATCTCTATTTCCTTTTTCAGACTTGGTAAGTTTTCTGCCATTATTTCTTTAAACGTTTTCTGTCCTTTTCTTTATTTATCTTCCTTCTGGAAATCCAATAATGTGTATAATATTCTACTTGATGGTATCTTGTTAGTTAGTACCTTAGGTTATATTTACTATATTTTATTCTTTATTTTCACCTCAGATTAGATGATTTCTCAAGGCTTATATTCAAGTTCGCTAATTCATTTTTTCTTCTAGATCTAGTCTGCTATTGGACCTTTCTATTGAATTTTTGAGCTCAGATATTATATTCTTATTTTGCTCTACACCACGGAAAGGATCTGTGGTGCGTACCTGTACTCTCACTCAAGTTGCTCATTTTGAACCTGGAGAGATTTATCCTTAATGTTTGAAGTTTAAAGGTCACCTTTTTGTTGTCTGTGGGATAGTAGACTCAGGAGTGCAGAACCTCAACTCCCAGAGCTAGGTGATTTAGGAGCAAATCCTTTGGAGGGGAGTTGACTGTGCAGAAACTATTTCCGTTGAGAGTCTTCATATCTTAATTTATTGCTGGAGCAAGCCAAGGAGCATGGCTGGAAAGTGCCATCTTTCCCGTTTTTTGCCAGCGGAGGCCTCTAACCTTTATCGAGGAAGAGATTGCAGGGCTAGAATTGTCACTGGAGCAGACCAGGGAAGCAGGCATGAGGAGTGCTCTCTTTTCCATTCAGGCATGCAGAAGTCTCACATACTCCTTGCAGGGAGAGACTTCTGGCATGGAGTTATTGCTGAAGCAAGCAAGGGAATAAAGTACAGGGAGTGCCCACATTCCCTTCTAGTCATGTCAAGGTCCCTCAGTCTCTTTTCTACTTTCTATGGGAGATGGAATTTATCTCTGGAGCAAGCTAAGAAAGAAACCACAAGGAGTGGTGCTCTTCCTCCCATCTGGGCTTAAGAAGGTTTATTCTTCACTTCCTATGCAGGCTCTGAGATACTGGCTTATTAGAGGTCAGAACCACAGGAAGCTGCAGTAAAAGTGTGCAGCCAAACCCTTTTCAGGGGAAAGTTATAAGCTGGGCTGATCCCAGGGGCCATAGCTGCTGAGAGTGCTCATGTGGTTCAAAACTCCTCTTTGTTCTTTGTGCTTGAGAGAAATTCTCAGATGCCCTGCCCATGCTGTTCTGCAACAAGGTGATTTAAGAGCCAGGTCCTCTGGCAGGAACTTCAGAAGTTGCACATTATGTGTATTGTACAAACCACTCACTTCTCAGGAATAAGCTGACAGTTGGTATTGCCTTCTCGATTTTAAGGTGCTATGCTCAGAGTGGGGTTACTGTGTGAATGTATCTCCACTTTAAAAATCAGTTCTAATGTGCATATTTCAGTATGTAGGAGTTCAACTAGATTCTGGCTTTCTCTTGGAGAAAATTGACCCATGTTTAGATATTTACTCAGGGTGTCTGTGGCAGGAGGGATAGGAGTCTCATTCTGTCATGCTGCTGATGTCACCTTTTTCACAGTCTGTGTGAGTCCACTCACCTTTACCTTTGCCATTTGATAAAGGTCATTATCAAATGATTAAAAACTGGCATCTTCTGTGCTATTTGCTACTATCCATTCTGTGTATAACTTCCTCAATATCGAGACTGATCATGTGAGCTTCAGAGAGACATTCCAGAAAGGGTTAACTTTTAGTGAGTAATGCATATGCGTTTTGGAAAAAAAAATAAAGGTATTTTCAAACAGAAGCTATTTTCCTTTGAAGAACCAGATGGTGGGTATGAGGAAATGATGTCCAAGGCATAGCAAGCAGATTAGCCTAAGGGATAAAGGAATTATCCTACGGATATGGAGATCAGAGTGGATTTTAGTGGCTAGCTCAGAGATACTCAAACTCTTTATAAAATTACACTGTATGAGCCCCTCCTTAACTCATTGAAGCAGAACTTTTCCAGGCAATTCCCAAGAATAGACATAGTTACAGTCACTGAGATTGATATGTCTGCATTTTATAGATGACACTGACAAATAACAGTATCCGGAGGTGGGAGCCAGTACAGATCTAGGAAGTGTTATTCTCATGATGTAACTAGCACCTTAGGACATTGAGCCTGTATCAGAAAATACTGAAGCAGGATTTGTTAACGGCCATCACACACTTAGAAGATGTTGTCATGTGGAAGGGAAAAGGTAGGATTACTCTCAAAGCCTAAAACCAGAGACAGAAAGTTCAAAGAGGCTATTTCTTGACCTAAACACATTGGCCCAAATGTTGTCTATTTATCAAGAGGTAACAATCACAAATGGAAGAAGTAGCTGAATCATGAAAAGAGAGGGTGAAATTGCCTGATGAGCTTATATTTTCAATTACATTTTTCCATGGCTAAATTTAGGCTAAGAGCATGAAAATAGTCATCACATATGTTATTGCTTACTACAAGAGACTGGGAGAAAATTTTGTAAGCTTCCTCGAATTTTTGTAAGATGAAGTTTCTAATCTGTTGCATATTTCTTATAAGACTGTTATGTCATATTTAATGGCTTGGCCAGCAGAGAGCAACATCATAAAACAAAATGCTATTCTGATACATCTGTTCAACTTAAATACATTTACTAGAAATAACCAAAAATTCAGTTAATACCTTTAAGAGATATTAATAAAAGCATTTCTCTTTGTAGAAGCTATTTTAGGGCCATTCAAAACATTTAAAAAAACATTTATTGCATGACTAATCATTGAAATTCTTAAGATGAACTGGATGCTGCAACAGCTGCCCTCTTGGGTTTACGTATTCCTTCACAGACCCTGTTCCTGAATCTCCAGTAAACAATTTTCAGGTACCTCATTTGACAAATCCCTGTGGTATTTTGTCTTTTCACTTTGGCACTGCAGTTATTCTACCTCTTGTGCTTGTCAGGGTAGCCACATTTGCCACAGGAAGTCTTGTGAAGGTGGTAACACTTAGAGCCACAGTGGTGATACAATGTGTGCTTCTTATTGTGATGACTTTTAGACGCTGATATTCCCTTTCTCATCTCACTTCTGCAGCTGTGGCAGAGACTCAGATCAAAAAGCAAAACAAACACTTTGACTGTGGTAAATACAGATAACATACATTTTCCCATTTTAACTATTTTTAAGTAAAATTCTGTGGCATTGAGTACATTCATAATGTTGTGCAACCATCACCACTATTTCATTCCAAAATATTTTCATCAGCCCAAAAGGAAACCCAGTTCACATTAAGCAGTTAATTCCATTCCGCATGGAATGATAGAGTGTGTGGCCTTTCATGTCTGGCCTCTTTAACTTACCATAATGTATTCAAGGTTCATCCATGTTGGAACATGTATCAGTACTTCATTGCTTTTTATGGATGCTTAATATTCCATTGCATGTATACACCACATTTTATTCATTCATCATTTGGTGGACATTCAGTGGCCACTGTGAATAGTGCTACTGCGAACAGTGCTCCCATGAACACGCAAGTTTTTGTTTGAACACCGGATTTCACATCTTTTCAGTATTATCTAAAAGTAGAACTGCTGTGTCATATAGTCATAAACTTTCTGAAGAACTGCCAGACTGTATTTCACAGTGACTGTACCATTTGAAATTCCTATGAACAATGTCTGAGGGTTCAATGCCAATACTTAATATTTTCCATTTTTGTTTTATTTTATAAATTATAACCATTGAGAGGGGGTAAAGTGGTGTCTCCTTTTGGGTATGATTTGTGTTTCCCTACTGACTAACATATTGAGCAGCTCCTCATGTGCTTGTTTGCCCCTTGTATATCTTCTTTGGATAAATGTCCCTTGGAGTTCTTTGCCAATTTTCTAGTTGGATTATTTTGTCTTTATTTTTAGGTATAAGAGGTTTTAAAAATATATTCTAGATACTATCCTCTTATGTGATATGTTGATTTGAAAATATTTTGTCACATTCTTCAGGTTTTTTACACTATTGAAAGTGTTCTTTGATGCACAAAAGTTCTGAATATTGAAGAAGTCCAGTATGTATGTTTTTGAGGCTTGTGCTATCTATGAACCCCTGGCCAAATCCAAGATTATAAAAATTTACTCCTATGTTTTCTTATAGTTTTATAGGTTTAGCACATATACTTAGATTTTGATCCATTTAGAGTTAATGTTTGTATATGGTGTCAGATAAAGATCTAAACTCATTGTTTTTGCCTGTGGCTATCCAGTTGCCCCTGCATTATTTGTCAAAGAGACTATTCTTTTCTCATTTAATGGTCTTGAAAGTTCTTTTCAAAAATCTATTGACTATCCATATATATGTTTAAATCTGCACTCTCAATTCTATTCCATTGATGTATATATCTAACTCTGTGTCAGTACAACATTGTTTTGATTATTATAGCCAGATAATATGTTTTGATATTGGGAAGTGTGTATTTTGTAACTTTGATTTTTATTAGGGATGTTTTGAATATTTGGGATCTCTTGAAATTACATATGAATATAAGAATCAGCTTTGTAATAAGATTGAAATAGGGATTGCGATAGGGGTTGTATTGAAGGTAAAAATCAATTAGAGGTGTAGTGTCATCTTGATAAATCTTCCAATTCATGAATTATTTTCACTTACTTAGGTGGCTTTAATTTTTTACAGCAATGATTTGTAGTTTTCAGTAAGTTCTTTTTTCGCCTCCTTAATTAAATATGTTCCAAAGTATTATATTATTTTGACATGATTATAAATGGAATTGTCATTGCTGGTATACATAAACACAACTGATATTTGTCTTCTTCATATACTCTGCAATTTTTCTGAATTAAATTTTTTGGCCTATTTGTGTATGTATTCTTTGGAATTTTGTGCATATAGAATCATGCTATTTGCAAATAAAGATAAGAGTTTTACCTTCTTCTTTCCAATTTAGGTATAGTTTCTTTTTCCTCTACTTTTTTTTTGGCCTGACTTCTTTGGCTTGAAATTTTAGTATAACATATTAGTCCATTTTGCATTGCTATAAAAAACTACCTGAGACTGGGTGGTTTGTAAAGAAAACAGGTTTAATTAACTCATAGATCTGCAGGCTATACAGGAAGCATGGCTGGGGAGGCCTCAGGAAACTTAAAATCGTGGCAGAAGGTGAAGAGGAAGGAGGCATGTCTTCCATGAGTGGAGAAGGAGAAAGTGAAGAGGGAGGCACTACACACTTTTCAACAACCAGATTTCATGAGAACTCTATCACGAGACAGTACTAGGGGAATGGTGCCAAGCCATTAGAAACCACCCTCATGATCCAGTCACCTCCCAGCAAGCCCCTCCACCAACACTGGGGATTGCAGTTCAACATGAGATTTAGGTGGGGACACACAGCCAAACCATATCATATAGTAATGAATAGAAGTGGCAAAAGTGGGCATCTTTGCATTGTTCTTAATCATAGGGGGAACACTTTCATTCTTTTATCATTAGGTATTGTGTTATCTTGTGGTTTTTGTTTGTTTTAATAAATACTTTTTATCATGCTGAGGAAGTTCCTTTCTATTCCTAACACATTGAGTATTTTATTATGAATGGACTTTAATTTTTTTAAGTGTTTTTTCCTAAATAAATTAAGATGATCATTTGTGTTTTCTCCTCTATTGCATTATATTGATTGATTCTTATATTTTGTACCAACCTTGCATTCTTCAGAGAAATACCACTTGGCTATGGTGTATAATTATTACTATTATTATTATTTATTTATTCATTTTTTTTTTAGATGGAGTCTTGCTCTGTCGCCCAGGCTGGAGTGCAGTGGCGCGATCTTGGCTCACTGCAAGCTCTGCCTGCTGGGTTCAAGCAATTCTCCTGCCTCAGCCTCCTGAGTAGCTGGGATTACAGGCACCCGCCACCATGCCCGGCTAATTTTTGTATATGTTGGTCAGGCTGGTCTTGAACCCCTGACCTCGTGATCCACCCGCCTTGGCCTCCTAAAGTGCTGGGATTACAGGGGTGAGCCACCTCGCCTGGCCGGTGTATAATTATTTTAACATGATGCTGGATTCACTTTGCTAGTGTTTTATTAAGTATTTTTGCATTGATATTAATAAAGTATATTTGTCTAAAGTTTTTTATGATACCTTTGTAAGACTTTGGTATCAAGGTAATACTGGCATTATAGAATGAATTTGAAAGTGTTTTCTCTTCCTTTGTTTCTTGGAAGAATTTGCAAGGTATTAGTGTTCATTTTTAAATGTTTTGTAGAATTTGCCAGTGACACTATCTTGTCCTTGGCTTTTATTTTATCAGAAGAAGTTGACTATTGATTTAGATTTTTTATTAATTATAGATGCATTCAGTTTTTCTATTTCTTCCTACATTAGTTTTGTTAGAGTGTGTTTCCAGTAATTTATCCAATTCATTGTTTTGTTGGCATGCAATTTTTCAGCCTTCTCTTATACATCTTTTTTATTTTTGTTAAGTCAGTAGTAATGTCCCAAGTTTCACTTTTTATTTTAGTAATTTGAGTCTCCTTTCTTTTTTTCCTTAGGCTAGCTAAATGTTTGCCACTTTTGTTGTATCTTTTCTAAAAACCCACTTTTGCTTTTTATCGATTATTTCTATTGTTTTTCTACTCATTTTCTGTATCTTTGGTCTAACTTGTATTGTCTTTCTTTCTGCTACATATAGTTTTACTCTGCTTTTTTAAAGTTTCTGAAGGCAAAAAGGTAGGTTATTTGAGATATATATTTTTTAATGTAGGCATTTATAGCCAAAAGTTTCCCTCTGAGCATTGCTTTCGATGCATCCCATGTTTTATTTGTTATTTTGTTTTTTATTTTTCTAAAAGTATTTTCAAATTTCTCTTGTAACTTTTCTTTCTTCCTTCCTTCCTTCCCTTCCTTTCCCTCTCTCCCTCCCTCCCTCTCCCTCCTTCCTTCCTTCTTTCTTTCTTTCCTTTCCTTCTTTCTTGTTTCTTTCTTCCTTTTGTTCTCTCTCTCTCTTTCTGTCTTTTTAAAGACAGGGTTTTGTTCTGTCACTCAGGTGTAATTGCAGTGGTGCCCACTGAAGACTCAACCTCCTGGGCTCAAGTCATTCTCCCACCTCAGCCTCCTGAGTAGCACATGCTACCATGCCTAATAAATTTAAAAAATCATTTTTTTTTTTTTGGTAAAGACAGGGTCTCCCTATATTGCCCAGGTTTGTCTCAAACTCCTGGGCTCAAGCAACCCTCTTCCCTCTGCCTTTCAAAGTACTGGGATTATAGGCAGGAGCCACTATGCCCAGGCTCTTTTGATTTTTCTGATCTATTGATTGCTTGAGTGTTAATTTCTACATATTTTTGAATTTTATAATTTTCTATCTTCTATTAATTTTATTAGTTTTATTCCACTGTGGTCAGACAAAATATTTTGTAGGATTTCAATATTTTTAAATTTGCCAATAGTCATTCTATGCCATAATATGTGGTCTATTCTGGAGAATGTTCCATATAAACTTAAGAAGAAGGTACATTCCTCTGTTGTTGGGCAGAACATTCTATAGCTATCTTACAGATCTAAATGATTTATAATTGTGTTCAAGTCTTCTATTTATTTGTTGATCCTTTATTACATACCAAAAGTACAATATCAAAAAAAGTTATACCCCAAATACAATAATACTGAGATTTATATTTATCATGTAGTTATTTTGTCAATGTTCTTTATTTCTTCTTATGGCTTAGAATTTCTGTCTAGTGTTTTTAAATTTCAGCCTTAAAGAATGCACTACACCATTCTTAATTTGCAGGTCTATTAGCAGCAAACTCCTTTTGTTTGCCTGAGAATGTACTAATTTCTTTTTTCATTTTTAAAAGAGAGTTTTATCAAGTATATGGCTCACAGTTTTCCGGTCTTTATATTTTCTGATGAAAAATAGAAGGATTATATATACCTGATGATTCATTTCTCTCTGGCTGCTTTAAAATTCTCTTGTTTTCACTCTTGACAGTTTGTTTATAATGTGTCTTGTTATGGATTTCTGGGTTTATACTTGTTCTAGTTCATTGAGCTTCTTTGATGTTTAGATTCATGACTTTCAGCCTGTTTGGGAAGTTCACAGCCATTGTTTATGAAAATATACTCTGTCCTTTCTCTTTCCTTTCTCCCTCTAGGATGTCCATTAAATTTTGGTACACTGTATGGTGTCCCATAGATCTCTTAGGCTCTATTCTTTTTTTTAATTCTGTTCCATAGGCTAGATAATCTCAATGAATCTATCTTCAGGTTGACAAATTCTCTCTTTGTCCATGCATAAGTGGGCATTTGAAATCTTCTAACAATTTTAAAATTTTATTTATTATACTTTTTAGTTCCAGAATAATTATTTAGTTTTTTAAATAATTTCTTTTTATAAATATTCTGTATTTGGTGAGACTTCATTCTCCTGGTCTATTTTAGTGCTTTGTCTATAATCTACTTCAGCTCATTGAACTTAATTTTAAAAGTTTTTTTTAAAGTTTTTGTTAAGAATTCCAATGTCTGGGCTTTCTGAACAGTTTATATTGATTTCCTTCTTTTTTCCTGTGAATAGGTCATACTTTCTTGTTTTTCTTTTTAATCCCTTGTCATTTTTTTAAATAACATTTTGGATATTATAATGTGTTAATTCTGGAAACTGTATCTTCACACTGTCCGTTGTTTGTTGTTGCTGCTGGTTTGGGTTTAGAATTATCTGTTTACTAGCTATTTAAAATTGATTTTGTAAAAACTATATTCTTTGTTATGTGTGGTCACTGAAGTTTCTGTTTCATTATTTTGGTGGTCAAATAGCGATTTGACAAAAATTTTATAAAATGCCTGGAGCCATAAAAGTAAAAAGTTAAATTAAAAAAAAAAAAAACAAAAAAAACCTCCGGGTCTTTCCAGGTTCACTCTGTGTTGGAGTACTTTGTCCATCCTTAGATGGGCTATTTTTACCAGTGCACCTTAGCCTTCCCTCCATATATGTGTAGAGCCTAAAAAATCCAAATATGGAGTGTGTGTGCGTGTGTGTGTGTGTGTGTGTATTCCCACACTGTAATTCCCACATGTCTAGGGAGGTACCTGTAATCCCCATGTATCATGGGAGGGAGGTGATTGGATCATGGGGTCAATTTTCCCCATGCTGTTTGCCTGATAGTGAGTGAGTTCTCACAAGATCAGATAGTTTTGTAAGGAGCTCTTCCTCCTTAACACGCTCTCTCTCACCTGTCACCATGTAAGACGTGCCTGCTTCCCCTTCCACCATGATTGTAAGTTTCTTGAGGCCTCCCCTTTCATGTAGAACAGGATGTCAATTAAACCTCTTTCCTTATAAATTACCCAGACTCTGGTAGTATCTTTACAGCAGTCTGAGAACGGACTAATACAAATGCTCAGTGATTAGCAAGTGGGGGTAGCAACAAAGCATTGTTCAACTCAATTGCCTTATTTCTGTATACTTCACTATGTTATGGCAGAAACAACTTGGTATATGAAAACCTGCCTTCAGTATTTTTTGGTTTTTTTCACCAGCGAATTTTTGCCAGTTGCTTGCTTCGTCATATTAGATGAACTTTTTCAATGGTACTCTGCAGGAGGAATTCCTCATAGATTCTGAAATCAAATATGCTTCAGAAAGTGTATCTCCTTATCTTACACATCCACGACACATGTTAGGATATTAAGGGCTCTGAAAAGTCTTTCAATAAAGAACATCTTGACCCTCTCTTTATATCAGCATTTCTCAAACTAATTTGATCATTGACACTCTTTTTTTTTCATGTAACACCTTTTAACCAGCATATCATACTTTAGGAAATTCAATCTCTCTGAGGTTGTAAAATGAAAATAAAATAACCAGCTTTATGTCTGCATGCAGTGAAGATCTAGTAGTGTTATATAATGTGTGAATTCATTGAGAATTGTAATATTCATATAAGTAAATTTACGGTTAATTCATAAATAATTATTTTAGGCAGGGCGCAGTGGCTCACGCCTATAATCCCAACAATTTGGGAGGCCTAGGCAGGTGGACCACTTGAGGTCAGGAGTTCAAGACCAGTGTGGCCAACATGGTGAAACCATGTCTCTACTAAAAATACCAAAAGTTAGCTGGGCGTAGTGGCGGGCGCCTGTAATCCCAGATACTCAGGAGGGTGAGACAGGAGAATTGCTTGAACCTTGGAGGCAAAGGTTGCAGTGAGCCAAGATCGCACCATTGCACTCCAGCCTGGGAAACAAAAGCGAAACTCTGTCTCAAAAAATAAACAAACAAACAAAATATATATATATATATATATAAATAATTATTTTAAAACATTATATTTTGTACTTTTATGAAGGAAAAATAGTGAGTTGGAAGAGTTCAGCTTTGTTTTAGAGACGAGTAAGTTGTCTTAAAGAAATTAAATGTCTTACTCAAGACCTCGAAGGAACAAGTGGCTGAATTGGAATGGTAAGCGAGCTCTGCTGACACTTGGAGCAGAATACTATTCACTGTTCTATTCTGCCTCCACGTGGTTACATATGAAGCCTTCATGATTAGAGCTGGCATGGTGAGAAGGCTAGAAATATTGTAAACCTAGCTCTGTACAATATTTAACTGGAAGAAAGTATTTAAAAATCATAATTTAAAATTCAATTTAAATGTTTAGACATAAGATATTATAATCAGAGATGAATATAACATATTTTAAAAAATACTTTTTATTCCAAGTGGTTTTTTAAAAAAGCATATATTCTTAAATGAATATACTATAGTCATTCAAAAATTTGCATAGATTGACACATTTAATAAAAAAATCCAAATTAATGAGACATTCTTAGAGAAGTCTGGACTATAATACTGCTGTTTAGTTTGGGGCAATGATTTTTTATTATTGCTATTAATATATAATTCAAAAATTTGTTCTCACTCATCTGTCCTTTGTCTTTGCTTATCTTGTATTTTTTTATTCTATATTTCCTTCAACCTTTTGATTTTACTTCCTTTGTTGTCTATGGTCCTTTTTTCTAAACTGAGTTCTGGGTGAAAAGACTGAGAGTTTGGATAAAGGGGAAATTGCAGTTGTAGATGATTTTTCTCTAGTCTCAAATGTGTTTGCAAACCTATCATTTGAAAGTAACATAGGAGACACTAAAGGTACAGATACAGGCAGATGGGAAAATGATGGCATAGGGGAAGCCAAAAAATACTGGCATTTTTGTTAGTCAAATAATATTTTCATGTGGTTCTCTCAAACTTAGAAACTATTTATGAGATGGAGAAACTAATCATAGAAGCTCAAGGGCCCTAGTTTACTGTCAAAAGAAAATGATTAAAAGGATTAAAAGTTAAAATATTTCTATTCATTCCTTGTCTGTGATTCTATTTTTCAAACTAGACAGTTATCTATACTGATTGAATATATTTTAAAGTAAGATAATGATTTACAAACCTAAAAGCTGAACTTGGAATTAAAAAAAAAACATTTAACAGCCATTAGTTATGATAACATGGTAGCATTTCCAAGTATTTTAATGCTTCCCGAGGACAGAAGAAAGCAGTGTTTAAAATTAGGATCTCTGTAGAAAATTCAGAACATT
This sequence comes from Homo sapiens, assembly GCF_000001405.40. Lineage (NCBI taxonomy): Eukaryota > Metazoa > Chordata > Mammalia > Primates > Hominidae > Homo > Homo sapiens. The sequence continues at coordinate 83,586,435 of NC_000002.12, read as the reverse complement.
TTCTTAATTTTTGTAGGCATCACTGTGGCCTCATTAACAACATTAGTGTGTGTGTCTAAGAACTTAAGGTGACCTGAAATATGTAACCATACATAATCTATCCAAAATTAATTTTAGAAAAAGTAACAACAACAAAAATACTTCATGGCTTAATCTTCAGTAGGATTTCTTTAGCAGCCACCATGAGTACAAAATGACTGAAATACTTTCTATAGGAAATTGAAGAAACTGCTCCTTGCCAAAAAGTTATTTCATAAGAGGCATGTGGGTTCATGTATTCGTCTTTTTCCCCTTTATTTCCATGTCCTCTTTCCTCTATGGAGAACCAATGGGCAACTTTCTAGATGGACTTGTAAACCAAAATGTATCCGAGACAGATCTCAATCAATTTAGAAGTTTATTTTGCCAAGGTTAAGAACATGCCTGTGACACAGCTTCAAGAGGTCCTGATGACATGTGTCCAAGGTGGTCAGGCCACAACTTGGTTTTATACATTTTAGGGAGACATAGGACATCAGTCAATACATGTAAGATGTACATTGGTTCAGTTCAGAAAGGGAGGACAAGTGGAAGCAGGGGCCTCCAGGTCATAGGCAGAATCAAAGATTTTCTGATTGGCAATCGGTTATTATCTAAAGACCCGAAATCAATGGAAGGAATGTCTGGGTTATAATAAGGAGTGTGGAGACCAAGATTTGATCATGCAGATGAAGCCTCCAGGTAGCAGGCTTCAGAGAGAACAGATTGTAAATATTTCTTATCAGGCTTACAGAGTCTGTTCTATCAGTCTTAAGGTCTGCACTGATGTTGATGGTAAAAAGGTATGCCCAACAGTCCCTTCTGATCATGGCCTGAACTAGTTTTTTAGGTTACCTTTAGAATGCCCTTGCCTGAGAGGAGGAGTCCATTCAGACAGGCTTAGAATTTCATTTTTCTTTTACAGGCTGATGTAGGTTTTCTGGTACTGAGGAGGCCAGCTGTGTGAACTATCAGCACCTGAATATAACTTTATTTAAACTGCATTCACATTTTACTTTCGCTTTTATAGAATGGAGTTAAGGGGAAAGGAAAAACCTGAGTAGATGAAACAACTGAATTATCTGTTCCCTAAATGTCCCTGGAATACCCTGAGTTAATGGACCTCGTCTGTGTTCTTATTCAAATTCCTCTTTTGCAAACTGCTCAACTTGCTTATATTCTGTTTTCCTTGTACTCTCTTGTAATCATTTTGAATCGTCTCTTAGTCATTTTATTTTCTATCTCCATGCCTACTTCCACTGATTATTTTTTCTATTTGTGCATTTGAGAAACACAAAAGGAGTTTTCTCCGCTAGTCTATTGTTGGGGTGCAAAAAAACGATTTCCCAGAATATGCCATGTGGTCATGCTGAGTGCTTTTTAAAATTGAAAGGCCTTAGAAATAAGCCTCAGAATCAAGGTCCCTCTAACCTTGTCTTGTTTCTTTTTCCTACTCCCCACCCCCAGCACAGGGAGGGGCTGTCTGTGGTATTTCCTAATCTGACCAAAAAAGCTTCTTACCAAAAGAAACGCAATTAACTTCTATTCGTTCCCTGAAATTGTATTATCTCTGTCTGAAAAGCAGACTAAAGAATGCAAACACACTTGGATGGACGTTTTCATAAGAGAATGCCTGCTTCTTGGGCTCATTCAAATTCCAGAGTGAATCACTTGTAAGTTAATTTCAGTCTCTCTGGTTTATTCAGTCTGCCTAATAATCATTTACTGGTCCTCAAAAGAATTGTCTGCATTCTCCATTTCCTCCTTCCCCTATAATAAGGGTATATAAGCTTCTGTACCTCACTGGGGGTGGCAGCAGGCAGCAGGTGGTGGGGTGGGGGGGTGCTGGGGTAATCAATCTGTGATTCTTCATGTACATTAATAAATTTGTATGCCTTTTTGCCTATGAAGCTGCCTGTTTTCCAGCTGGTTTTTCATGAACTTTGAAGGTAAAGAAGTTTTCCCTTGGCCTCCACACTATTCTGCATTGGATCATTATAGGCCATTTGCATTCTCCTAAAAGTAATCACAGAGACAAAGTCACATGCTAAACACTGACACCCAATTGCAGTATCAGACTTTTTTCTGAAACAGTTCAAATTATAGTCCAAACTGCTCTGAGGAGAGAATTGAGGTTAAAAGTGCCATTTCAATAGCTTCCAATACCTAAATATTACTTGCAATCCTGAAGATGTATTTAGGAAAGCCACCTTAATAGAAATGTTCTCTCTAAAAGCTTTTTACAAATAATTATATTTTTAAAACCAAGAAAAAAATTATATTTTGTGTTTAAATTTTAACAACAAGGCCACATGTCCAAAGTATTTTACTGTCAATTTTGGAACATATTCCAATACGTTTCATGACAGTAAAGCTGACCCAATCACTAGGTCATTTATCAAGACTTTCTTGTTAACTGTACCTGTGGCTATGGGAGACACTGAGATCGAATTCACTTCTCTGGTTCAAAGGGGAAGTGAGTCTACTATATGGTTCCTCACAGCAAAATTCACACATTGCAGATTCCTAGGCTCTACTACAGGTTGGCTGCATTTGCATCTCAGAGGGTGATGCTTGAGAAGCGTCAAACTTAAAAAATGAGATTCAGAAAATATGACTTAGAGTTTACTCAAGCACAAAGCTTGAGGATAGCCACCTGGGCAAAAGACTCCAAATGAATGGGATCAGCATTCCATCATGGAGAAGTTAAGGTTTCACTTATATAGGCAGAGAGAGAAATCTTAGCAGAATTACATTTTTCATACAAGTTCATACATTACAGAAATTTGATTGGTTACAGATTACTAGTATACATTCTAAGAAAGGTTACTTTATTACTTCATGAGATTATTAAAAAGCTCCTCTGTAACTGTAAGCTCCCCTGCAAAAACTGTAACAGTGAGAAATTATGATATTGAAAGCAATCTGACCTAACCGACTCCATCTTGCTTTTAAACTTTAAGGTGTCCTTGTTTATTCCTGGCCATAGGCCTAACTAACTTTGGGAGAAACTTAGTTTATAGTTTAACTTTGAAACAAAGATGATAACAGCCCTTTCCCCAAACAAACCCCTTTCTTGCCAGACTGCCTTTGTAGGACTAACTAATTAGCCTCAAGATTAGAAATTATGGTTTAGGAGTCATGCAGCTAGAGGCCACAAGATTCTAAACCTCCCCAATTGCTCCTAGGGAAAACATCACTATTATAAAACCTAAGATTGGTGCTTGAGATATTTTTTAGACCCTGCACTTGATGGATCAGCTGACACCACCCAAATACATAAACCGGCTCATCTGATCTTGTGGCCCCCACCCAGGAGCTGCCTCAGCGCAAGAGGACAGCTTCCACTCCTTATAATTTAATAGCCAAGACAACTAATCAACAGTCCCCACTCCTTGGCACTCTACCTTCATAATCATCCTTAAAAACCCCAGTCTACAAATTTTCAAGGAGGCTGATTTGAGTAATAAGACTTCACTCTCCTGTGCAGCCAGCTTTTTGTGAATTAATCTCTTTCTCTATTGCAATTCCTCTGTCTTAATAAATGTGTTCTATCTTGGCAGTGGGAAAAACGAACCTGTTGAGCGGTTACATAACGATCTGAGATGGTCTTATCTCTGGCACCACCTGGTTTTCCTGATTATTTACAGAAAAAGGCAGAAGTTGCAGCTGCATGCCATGTGACTCAGGCTCCATAGTCATATTCCTCTCAAGGCTCAGGATAATTTAAAGTTCCAACGACTTTAAGTTTGAATTATTTAATTTCACAGATACTACAAGTTGAAGAATCACTCCAGGATATTTCAGGGCAGTAAATGGTTTTTGGACCACTGGTAGATGCATGGTCCTGCGAACAAAATGCTTTATTTATTTCATTTCAATAAAATAAATGCACTGATTTTTTAAACTAGTTTTTACAATGTGTTTAATATTATTTAACATATTTTAGATAATATGAAGATTTAGTCCACTTCCTAGTATTGTCACCCTCTGATATATATGTCACTCCCTGTGGCATGTACATGAACAAGAAGAGGTTTTTCTCTTCCTTACTCTCTACTGTGAGTTTCAGTTCATGGGAAACTTTAGCAAATAGAAAATAGAAAAATTTAGTAAATAGAAAATAGAAAAGAGAAAATTTGTCTTTCTCTTGGAGAGTATCTGCTTTCTGAGGCAGCTACAGTCCTGTATCTTAGTCAGCACCTATTCCTGTCTTGATTTCTCTTTTTCTGTATCCATCTAGTTCCCCTAAAACACACACTGCAGAACTTAGAGAGGAGCTGAATGAAATGACTGTGGGGAAGTTAAGCTATGATAGAGAGAGATCACAGGCAGAACTCATGAACAGATGAGACCTAGGAGCGGCAGTACTTGTGGACTGTAACTTATCATACTTGATTCCAGTATCAGAGCTCCACATACTAAACATTCAGTTAGGAATTGTGCACATCAAACCGCTTATGCAGTAAAATAAGCTTTCTAAAAATACTCAGTGCTGATGAGTATGCAATGAAATGGCCCTTCCAGTTAATTTGTATTTACAATTATAAAATGGTACATGTTCAAGTACTTCTATCTTAAAAGCCTGGAGACAAATGTATATTAATATTCATTTTTTCTTCAGATGTTAGAAAGTCAAGATAATGTGCACCTACCAGCAATCTCTGAGGCAGCATCCTATAATTAGTATTGTTTTTTCTGCAGCAAAATCTGTGGATATTTATGAACTAGAAAAATAAAATGCATAATGAACCTCCAAGAAAGTAAAACAAAAGCAGTCCCTGACATTTAAAAACTGGCCTGGCCCTTACAGTTAGGCCTATTATTTTATATAAGTAACTTCACAGAACACTAACCTCAGACAGGGCCACTCTGAGACCATGATAAAGTGATCCAAACAAGGTCACTTCATAACTTTGTCTAAGCATAAACAAAAGCAATTATTTATTTGTTATTATAGTTATTGGTAAATAATTATTTACCAATTATTTATTGATAAAGCTTCATTCTTATTCTAGCCTGATTATAGATTTACTGAGATATTCAATCTTAGAATTGCCCTGCTTTCTGACAGCATCCAATATGGAGCTAACCCCACTACCGTAGACCCTCTCCAAATCATCCAAGCAAAACCTAAATGCTATAATAAGTTATTCTAAGACCTTCATATTGAGATACTTTATGATTCCTTATGGTGTGCATTTTTTCTTGCTACAGTGAGTAATAAACTCAATTTATTTGGCTACGGGTATGTTCCTAGTAGTTTTGCCTGGAAGGCATTGACATCTTGCATCATATCTGTTCAGGTGAGTTTTGACACACAGTAAGTTCAGGTAAATGATATTTTGCCACCAAAGAAGTTATGAGCAGATTTTACGTGTCAGAGGATTTTGAATTTTAGAATTCTAGTTTTGTGTACTTTAGAATATTTTTGGAAAACATTTGGCAATTTGTCTCTAGAGCTTAAAAAATGTACACAGGCTGATCCAGTAATATCTTAAGGGAAAATATCAAATTCAGAGGATCTCTTCTGGCATTACTTATAAGAGGAAAAATTATAAATAAAACTAGATATCTAAAACTATGATGATGCATCTGTCAAATGGACTATTATGCAATCATAAAAATGCATTTTAAGAAAATTTTGATTACTAGGGGAAATGCATATGAAATTATGCCAAGTTAAAGCAAAATATAAAATTGTATCCACAACACAATCTCATGGGAATTTACTAAATGGAAACAATAGCCAATTTTAACTGATTTATATATTTTCCTTACTTCTCCAATTTTCTCTTCTAGACTTTACATTTTTAAGAGATCACCATAAGCATGGATTAATCTTTTGAAGATACAAACATTGTTCAACTATTTGTACTAACCATTATTGTAGATTCAATCTCCATGAAGGCTCGATGAGCAACAGAATTTAATCATTCCTAGGGCATTTGTATGAAGAGAGATAGGGTGAGGAATATATAAATGAAAAATTAGATATCTAACACCATTTGGCATTGCAGAAATTATACAGTACATTGGTGATCATCAGATGTGAAAGAAGGAGCAGGTGTCTGTTTTAGGCTTTTATTTTTAACTTGAGGTGCAGAGTTTGCTTATTTTGGAGGGAAGAAGGGTAACTTGTTGGTAAAAGGAAGATTTGATCTCACTTGCATTATCCCAATTTGCTGAATCAATCAATCAAATGGATGGTATAATTTCCCATTCTTTCTCTTTTCTTTACCTGTGAATAAATGATTTTGACAGGAGCAAAATAATTTTAAAAAAGACGAGCTGTATTTACAAGGGTTAAATAATTCAACTTGTCACAATGATTCTTTCAAAATATATGTGAAGTAGAGAAAATCTTAGGCAATTCACGCTTTGGGGTAAGCATCTTTCCTTGGCATTTTGTTCTCTGCAGTAATTCCATTAAAGGAGCACAATTTATTGCACATCTGTCTTTGCAGATTTTATCAATGCTGAAACCTTTTAAACTGAGAATGGGATTAAATAAACCCCATTTACCAATGTGGTAAAATATAATAGACACCCAGCCCATTAAATGTCCAGCCAAATCAATATATGCACTTGGCAGCAATTTCCAGAAGATAAGGTGAAACCCTCCTGTTCTATTTGATAGATGAGTAAACTTAAAGGGAAGAATTTACAGTAGATTCAGCGTGTACCTTGAAGGAGTGTTCATTATTCTCAAATTACCTTTTCATGTCAGCAGATTTGTGCTTAGTAAACAGAGAGGCCATTTGTACTCCCCCTTCTATGTAGTGATAGAGGTTGCTTTGCAGCAAGTGACTGATGTAGACAGCAGAGAAGTGTTTAGATCTATTTAACAAAGAGGAGGTTTCAGATGCATTTAAAAGATATTTATAAATTTGAATTGTGGAAGTCATACTGCCCAAAATCACCTAAATTATGTGGCTGTCTATATGAATGTGAATCCAGGAGAGTGTGAAGGGTGCAGAAAGCTAAAGAAATCAGTAAGAACAGTAATAACGTGTAATGTGCCAGGCACTGCCTATGTTTTATATAATTATAAATTTAATAGAAATTGGCCAAAGGAGGGAAACTATTATGCTTATTTATAATCTGTCAGGAACTATTGTTAGCACTTTTATATGCACTAATATTTGTACCTAACCTTCACAGAAAACTTTTCAGGTAGGTATCACTGTGGATTTGGAAACAGAGAATCAAAGTTAACTGCCCCCAAATCACAATAAAAATACTGAAGCTAGTATTTTAATTTAGGCTTTTAGCTTCCGAGACCTACTGATCTGTACGATAACGTAGTAAAAATGGAAAAAGTCAGATTTTTTTATAGACCTAGGGTAAAGCTGAGGATTTCAAACAGAAATTTACTCTTTAGATGATAATTCGGAAAACAGAAGCCAGTGACTGAAGTTAAGGTCAAATGTTGGAATCAGAAAAAGCAGAAGGTGATGGTCAATATCCCAAAAAATATTCAGGGTCAAAAACAGGAGCTGAAGCAGTATCACAACTAGAACCCCAATTCTGTGGATTCCTGGAGCTACATTTAAACAAAAGGGTTAAGTCATGACCTTAAATGAGGCAATCAATAAGCCTGAAAGCTTCTATTATTGAAGGCTTCTAATGTTGTATTAGGCATATTTTAATTGAATAAATCCTCACAAAACCCAGTGACTCTGAGACAGTGTTGCACAGGGACAGTACACACTGAATCAGACAGGCTGGATTTCAAGCCCTCAGCCTTGCCCATTCTTCAGATGTGGGCCTTCTGACAAAATACTCTTGGATGACTTAACCTTAGAGGAAGCTGATGCCACAGAACATGGACACATTGTCCCAAGTCATCAAATTACACGGAAGCAGAAATTTAGACTTGAACTCCAATCTTAAACTCTATTTCTCAACAGTGAAGCATGACCCAGAAACTTCCTGTGTATGTGCAAGGACCTGAGCTTAACAGTGCAGGGTGGCACCAAAGCGATCTTTTCCCCACTGCAATGATTTGCCATGGGCTCTCCCTGAATCTTTAGTTCAATCTCCTTTTAGCAACATGTGTAGCATTCTACAGCATAGAAGGAGGAGAAAAATGAATACATGTTTTATGATCCTTTATCCAGGGCACCAAAGTAGAAACCCGATTCTAAACCAGAAAGAACTTCCAGAGTTCAGTCTGAAATTCTCTGGGAATGTTTTATAGATTTGGAGAATATGCTAGAAATTGTAGAGGACCCAGGCTGGACATAGGAGGGCAAGGGGTGTTGGAATGAAAGTTGTTTTTGAGAAAGATCAGTGTTAGAGAAACAAAATTTCTATCTTAAAATGATCAAACGATCGCAAGGACAGAAAACCAAACACTGCATGTTCTCACTCATAGGTGGGAATTGAACAATGAGAACACTTGGACACAGGATGGGGAACATCACACACCAGGGCCTGTTGTGGGGTGTGGGGAGAGGGGAGGGATAGCATTAGGAGATATACCTAATGTAAATGATGAATTAATGGGTGCAACACACCAACATGGCACATGTATACATATGTAACAAACCTGCACATTGTGCACATATACCCTAGAACTTAAAGCATAATAAGAAAAAGATAGATTCTTCACAAATATTTATCTTGGTGATTTACTATATATTCATAAACCTTCAGCTGCTGGCTTGAACACTGTTTGGATTGGAAACATGCCCCTGATTTAATGACTGTTCTGAAGATGAAAGAGTCTGTTTTTGGTGCTATTGGGCATGCAATGTTATAAACTCCACTGTCTTCACATAAGCCAGATATTAAGAAGGATATAATTGATCTTCAGGGCTAAGAGGCTTTTGAGTTAATCTTCCTGTATACAAAGGTATTAAGCATTGTCCATTTGGAGTCAGTAACTTACTCCTCTGTCCCTGAAGTAATCGATTTAGCCCTGACAGAAGTGGTTATTTATGTTTTCTTGTGACTTGTTTCTTGCAACACCAACTTATAGTGATCTAAATATGACTCTAAGCCAAGCCTGGAAATAGTTGTAGCAGCTCTGGCTATTAACATCTTAAGATGGAAAGGTGTCTTTTAAGGAAGGCAAGCCAGTTGAACTATTTCGTATTTCCAAGGCAGCACAGCAAGGATGCTCTCCCTCCCTCTTTCTTAATCAGTGCATCACGGATACACAGCACTTATGAAAACAACTTCTGTGATTCATAAAATGCAGACCTTCTGCGTTAAGTGTCCTTTGTAGCTGTGTCAGTTGTTAGGGTTTACCTTAGTGTATATGGGAAAGGAAGATATTTTGCCTTACATTAGTTACTGAGTCATGCTCTTCCATACAATACTTAGTGTTGGGCCCTCCTTGATTTTCTCTGCTAGGCTGCAGCTTAATTTTCTGCTTGCTGAAAGCTACCTCCTGAAGGTTTATGAATATATAGTAAATCACCAAGATAAATCCTAGAGCTTCTGAACATTTTTCCCTTGAAATGACGATAGCTCTCTCTGCACACACAGCAGGAGGAGGCAGTGTGACATATATCTCACCTCCTTTAACTCCTCTGTATTGGTTGACTAGGGCTTAGTTTATATGTGTTTAATTAGCTATAGTCTACCTTAAAATAATATACAACTTTAAGTGTAATGTGAGGATCTCACAGAGCTAGACTACCAATTCCTCTCATTTTTGTGCAATTATTATCACACTTTTTACTTTTACATATGCCATAAATATATAGTTACTATTATTTTTGATTAGATATAATTTTTTCAGCTACTGAACATAACTGAATTTTATATTTACCATCATTTATGTAATTTCTAACACTTCATTTATATGTATGTGTGTATGTATGTATATGTCTGCAGTTCCAAGTTGCAGTCTGATACTTTGAAATTTTTCTTTAATATTATTTATAGTGAAAATGTATGATCAAAGAATTCTTTTTTAGTTTGTCTGAAAAAATACTTTTTAAAAATTTTTTTGAAAGGCATTTACACTGGATATAGAATTCTAGGCCAACAGATTTTCATCTTTCAGCACTTAAAGGCATTATACCAATGCCTTTGGCTTGCATAACTTCTGATGAGAACTCTAATATTATTTGTTTCTCTGTTTGGAATATGTATTTTATTTACTGGCTGACTTCAAGATCTTTTTATGTTGTGTCTTCAGCAATCTGTATGTGATATATCTTGGTTCTTTCTTTTTCTGTTTATTTACTAATTTGAAATTTATGGCCTTATGTATTTGTTGTTTATCATGCTTGGTAGTCCCACAGCTTCATAGGTCTGTGATTTGGTGGCTGCTGTGGTCTGAACGTTTGTCCCCCAAAATTTGTATGTTAACACCCTTCCCCACAAGGTGATGGTGTTAGTAGGTTGAGCCTTTAGGAGGTGATCAGGTTGTGAGGCCTCTGCCCATGAATGGAGTTAGTGTCCTTGTAAAAGAGCCCGATGGGAGTTTGCCCACCCCTTCAACTATATGAGGACACACTGATAAGGTGTAATCTGTGAACCAGGAAAGAGACCCTCACCACATACTGAGTCTGCCAGCAATATGATCTTGAACTCCAGAGCCTCCAAAGCCATGCAAAATAAATTTATGCTGTTTATAAACTACAAAGTTTATATTGTTTTGTTATAACAGCCTAAGTGGTCTGAGTATGTTTCATCAAATTTGGAAAATTTCAGCCATCATCTCTTGAAATATTTATTTCGATACATTTTCTCTCTCTTCTCTTTGAACTTCCTGGCTGGAATCCCCAGTTTTTTTTATGTGTGATGTTTAGCTTTTTCAATAGAAACTTTAACATATTAATCATAGTTATCTTAAATTTCCATCCAGATGCTCCAACATCTGAACCACAAATCTGGTTTGGATGATTTGCTTCTCATTTGCAGTATGTTGTTTTATTTCTTATTTCCTTCTGCATGTTTTAAGTTTTGATTTAATCCCAGGCATCTTGTGTGAGGGCAACAGAAAAACATTCATGACTCAAAATGGACATTTTTTTTTGGCTAGGTTTTTATCGACGGTAGGGTTTAGTCCATCAAGTCAGATACTGTGCTGGGTTTAGACTTTTTTTTTCACTGTTGTTAGCTTCAGTGCAATGTAGACTTCAAAGTCCTCTAGTGTTAAATTCTGTTTAAGATGAGGACCAAACAGTTTGTCAGAGGGTTTCCTTCAATGTCTGTTCTACCCTCAACTTTAGAAATTCTCTTAGTACCTTAAGCTCAGAGATGCCCTCTTCTCATGCTCGTGTCCCATGCTCATGTCCTCAGTAACCCTGCTGTTACATGTTACTCAAACACTTGCAAGCCAGGTGGATGTAGTGTAGCATTCTCTATTGTTCTGGTGCTGTCCCTGTCTTAGTCAGCTGCTGCGTTCCTAGATCATGGTGGTGCTGCCCCTCCCCAACTAGTAGTGGATCTCTAATGGCCTGGGCCCAGGAGTTTCCTGCGCATCACCAAGGATGAGTCTTCACATTTACTATTAGAGTGATGAGGCCTGCTTCTCTTCTTTTAGCATCTTAAGCATTATATTCTATATGGAAAATAGGAAGGCAGTATCCATGCAGTGCCTGTATAATTTCCCAGTTGTCTCAAATTTTCCCCTATGCCTTCATGATGATTGACATATTTTCCTGTCTTATCCTTTCTGCTAACTGTTCTCATGAACCACTGAGGTCTATGGAGAGAAGCCAAGAGTGTGTGTGTGTGTGTGTGTGTCCACACACATAATCAGAATTGATTCATATTTATTTTACACATCACATTATAATCCAATACTACCTGTTATATTTTGATGTTAAAATTGTTCCAGCTTTGGCTAGGGGGAACTCTTTTAGCTGGCTCCTGATTCATTTTACATGCCCCTATCATAGTGTGGGTATTTTATTAGTTAATATTTTGTAATATATTAATCATTATTCATCAAAACTTCTTTCTGTGTTTTATGTAAAGTAAAAAACTATATAATTGTTCAAATCGATGCTTCTGAAGAGTAGAACTGCTACAGAGACCTACTCTTCCATCTTCATCTACCCCTTCCTGATCCCGAGCTGTTCTTTTTAAAAACTATTTATTTTTTCTTTTGACTTCATTTTCTTCTAATATTATTTATTCTGTGCTTATAAAATTATGATACTTTATAAAACAAATTGGAAATTACATATTTATTATAAAAAACACAAAACTTTGCCTAATCCTACTGATACAGTTTGGATTTTTGTCCCTGGTCAAATATCATGTTGAATTGTAATCCCTAGTATTGGCATTGAGGCCTGATAGGAGGTGATCGGATTATGGGGATGGATTTCTCATGAATGGTTTAGTACCATCCTCTTGGTTCTTTCCTCATGACAGTGAGTGACTTATCATGAGGTCTGGTTGTTGTGAAGTGTGGTACCTCCTCCATCCACAATCTCTCTTTCTCTTGCTCCTGCCATGTGAGATGCTGGCTTCCACTTTGCCTTTTACCATGATTGAAAACTTCCAGAGACCTCATCAGAAGCCAAGCAGATGCCTGGCACCATGCTTCCTATATAGTCTGCAGAGCCATGAGCTAATTAACCTCTTTTCTTTAAAAGTACTCATTTTCAGTATTTCTTTGCACCAACACAAGAACACCTAATACGTCTACATCAAGGAAAAAAATCATAGTTTATATTTTTCAATGTTTTCTCTGTGCACTTACTACTTGAAAAGTGCTGGACCCTGTTTCAAGATTCAGCTCAGTTATTACTTTCTCTATGAACGTTTTTTATTACAGTGTTTTCACTTTTTTCACGTTTTCATTTTCAGAATCCTTGTAGTCTAGAATAAATGTTTTGTCAACATATGGTGAATGAACGAATGATTAGGTAACATATTCAAGTCATCTCAAACAAATATTAACTGACGACTTGCAGAATATAGCAGCCTGAAAAGGGTTAATGTGTCAGGAACCAGATTGACCTGATATAATGGCATAGGAGATATAGTAACGGATAAGCATTTGAAAGAATTTCAAACCAATAAGCCAACGCCTGGCCTAAAATGTGGATTAATCTGAATAAACAGAGTGGACAGCACATTCCTGAAAATTAAAATTTCTGACATCAATAGCAGAGTGAAGAAGAATTTTGGAAGGATTATAAATTCCCAATTCTTGCTTTGGATCATTTTTGCTGACTCAGAAACAATCCGCAAGGTATCAAGACAGGAACAAAACAAAGAAAACAGAGAAATGTGTGTGGTTTATTGAATCCCAGTACCAAGGAGAAGATTCTCAGGAAAAAGGCAGAGTTCAAATATTATAATTGAGGCATATGAAATAAGAGTTATATAATTATAAGCATGAGTGAGCGCTAAATGATAGGATGACCAGGAACGGGACTGGAGGAATGTACATAAGAGTGACTTACGTGACCATTGATGAGGCATGTCCCTTCTAGGTGTTTCTTAGTCAATTTACACTGTTATTTAAATGCAAGGACATTATAATATCCTGCCTTACTTGTCAATGTTTGACGTCTTAGTAAATAAAGTCAGCTTCAAACTGCTAAAAAATGTTTTTAAAATCTATTCTGTATATGCTAGAGACTCCAACTCATCTCCTTATCTAACTTGTTTTGTGTAGATCCAGCTTTAGTGAGCCGAAAGAACCCACTCTCATCACTAATCTTCATAAGGATTTAGATTTCCAAAGGTGGGGATAAAAAGAAAGTAAAGGATAAAGAAACTAAATAGAATTTTAGCATATACAGTCATCCTGGCAATTAAAAAAACATAAATTCATGAAGGAAGAAAAGTCAGGCGATATAAAAGACAATAAAGTGAGGTGACTAATGGTGAAGGTGAGTCAGCCTGTCTTCAAGAAACAAACACTGTTTGACAACATCTGTATGTTAGTAGTTGTAAAGGATTTAAATAAAATCAAAATGTGGTATGTGCCCTTACGGCAGGTGCTTTCAATTTGTTGGAAAGGCAAATCTTACACATATGAAACTACCAAAAAACTGGGTTCTCAAAGTAACCTGTGACATCATGTGAGATCTGAAAATATTTTCTCCAGCTTCTTCTAAATCTGTATATTATATCTGTTCCTGTAGACCCTGCAGACCAGCATTTGGTGCTTCAAATGCACTGCTCATTTAAATACAATGGCGGCACTCAATTTTGTTTCTCTACCTCTCTGAAAAGTTGTCTGCTTCCCATTGTCAATTCTCACATTATTTTGCTCCTTTCTGTCTATGCCTACTCTCCTCAGCTATATATCCATCAGAAGGATTAATTTTGTGCTCTGTTTTCCTCTCATTTTCTCCTTCATCTTTCTCTCTCTCACACACACACACGCATGTGTGAGCACACACACACATACACACACCAACAAAACTCCAGCTATCTTCGTTATCTACTTTTTCCATTTAATTATTGAAATAAAACTAGCATGAAATTTAGTCACTGGTTCTGCCTACTAAGCATTTGTTTGGATGCTATTCTATCATATTCGTATTTATCAAATTTATGTTTATTAAACATAGAGACAAACTTAGGCAAAGAGGCTGCAAATACAAAAAAGGAACAATCCCTGACTTCAACAAAAAATAACAACCAAGCATTTATTTATGGCTTTATTTACACCTTTATTTACCCCACAAATATTTATTGTGAGAGTAGGGACCCTCTCTTTTTAGTTACACTGTATTCCCAGAAATTAAATAGTTCCTGGTATAAATTAGGCATTCACTGAACATTACTAAATTAGATAATGAAACTAAGTAAGAAAGCTCATGACAAAATATAAAGAGTTGTGTTTAGTACAAGGAAGGGAAAGGAGTTGGTGACTATCATTAAATAGATGAAAGACTACAATGTTATTGCAGAGAGTTATACTCACTGACAGTTAATTAGGTGATAAAATTCTGTAATGGAAAGAATATATTTTAGATTGTTTAATTGCTGAAAGCAAATACTTTGAATAATTGGCACCTATTCCTAAAGGAACTATGGAAATCTGAACATTTTAAGAAAAAAAATGTAGGAATGATATTGCCTGTGTATGATTTGAATAGTCTTACCTGAGGGCAGGTTATTGAAATTCACAAGGTACCTCACAGTGAGACTCATATCCTCATTAAACACATGTAGCTATTTGCATGTAAAGCATTCCTTTATCTCCTTTGTCATCTCTATTTATAAATTTCTGAAATCTGGGTAAAATAGATAATTCCCCCAAGTTATACCAGGATATGCAATGCTGAATTTTATAATCATTTGTTTTCTTGCAATCTGGCACAGAAAATTTCTTGGAGTATTAAAACACAATTCCTGAGTTTGATGTGAATAGAACACTCATGAATTTTAAATATTTTCAATAGGCCACTCAATACTTTAAACAAATACAATGTTTCTCAAAAATACATACTAAGTTCTGGGAAAGAAGGAAAGGAGACATTGCCTCCCTTACATTTATGTACTGTATTTAAATATTACATAGTACAATTTGAGGGCCACCAGCTGACTGCAGGCTTTAATGTGTCTCTTGTAGGAACAACTTGAAGATACGTGCATTTAACAGGTATAAAGACTTCTTTTGTACATGAGGTAATATTTGAATAGGTAAGAGTCTATAATAGAAATATGTGGGTAATCCAGTGTCCTGTGCCATTGAGTGGGGCCAAGGGTTACAGATCACAAATAGAAAAATCTGAATATGGTCTCTGCATGTGGATTTGGTCAGTGAAGTGTATCTCTTGAGTGTTTGATGTGAAAGGGCCGGACGTTTGGTCAAAGTCATATTTTTAGGATAGCATGTTAAAACAAGATAGTCAATAATGACTCAATTATTAAACACAGTTAATAGTTACAAATATGTAGATGTTTCTGTAATATTTAAAAGATCTCTTTTCTTCCAAAGACATCATCTTAATAGGGAAACCCTAAAAACATTTTTGCTAGAGAGAGGGGCAAAAGAAAGATGCCCTCTGTTATCATTATTTATCTTTGACTTCATTATCTGTTGCAATTAGATAAATAGAAGTTCAAGATTTTGAATAGTTCTGGTAACAAAACTAGGAGTATTATTTTAATAAAAAATAGCCCACAAATGACAAGAAAACTTATATTGATTTATGTAGTAGTAAGATTGTAAAAATAGTATATAGGATCCAGTAGCATTTATGTGTACAATCTATATGAGTTAGATGATAAAATAACAGAAAATACTTCATTTTTAAGAGTAGCTAGCACAAATTAAATACTAAATTGTGTTAGTCTATTTTGCACTTCTATTGCAGAATTCCTAAGACTGGGTAACTTATAAAGAACAGAAATTTGTTTTCTCACAGTTTTGAAGACTGGGAAGACTAAAATCAAGGCAACTGGCACTTCTTGTCTGGTGGAGGCCTTCTTATTGTCTTCTTAAAGGGCAGAAAGAGAGAGGGCAAGAAAGCAAGCTAGCCAAACACTGAAGAGAGCCTATTTTATAAGGGCCTTAACCCAATTAAGTAGGAAGGAGATGTCATGGCCTAATCACCTCTTAAAGGCCTCACTTATTAATACTATCACAGTAACGACAGCTGAATTTCAGAGACACACTCAAACCATAGCATTAGGCAATAAACTTTCAAAAATTTTAAGAAATATATGAAAAAAAACCTTTCAAATTCTACTGAAAGACATTAAGGACAATTTGAACAAATGTGAAAATACAACACATTCTTAGATTTTAAAAGAATGAGCATAGCAATATTCCCCATAGTGTTTACATTTACTCTAATTTAATTAGAATATCTGTGTTTTTTAAACTAAAAATTGTGACTGTAAAGTTTTTATTAAAAAATTCGGGAAATGTTCAGAAACACTCTGAAACAGTGAGATCAATACAGGGGGAGTAATACTGTTGAATAGTAAAACCCAACATTTTAAATTTTCTGTAATTAAAACTGTACAATATGGTGCATGAATCGATAATCCAAACAATAGAACAGAATATTAAAGCCATACATATACACAAATTCAGACGTAAATTTGGCATATGATAGAGGAATAATCTGGTTACTATAGAAGAGTAATCTGGTTACTATTGCTGTGTAGCAAATCACCACATAATTTAGTGCCTTAAAATTACAATTATTTATCATCACTTGTAATCTCTGTGGGTTCAGATGTGGGGGCATCTTAGTTGTGTGATTCTGACTGGCTAGTCCTTGGTCATGTCAAAGGTGGCTTCACTTATATGTCTGGTGCCTGCGCTAAAAGCTGGGTAGTAGAAAAGTCAAAGATCCGTATGTGTCTCTTTCTATCTCTACAGGTCTATCTATCTATCTATCTATCTATCTATCTATCTATCTAACTATCGATCATCTCTCTTTCTCTCTCTCTCTCTCTGTATGGTCTCTCCACCATGTCAGTATCAAAGTAGATGAACTTCTTATTTGTGGCTCAAGCTCCAAAGGCACATTTCCTGAATCGAAAAGCCAGGTAGAAGTCATATTGCCTTTCATTAGTTATCTTTGTAAATCACACAGTATCCCTTCTACCTTATTCTATTGGCTGAGGCAGTTAACAAAGGTCCTCTTGAGTGCAGGGTAGAGAACATAGACCCTTGCTCTCAAAGAAATAATACCAAGATCTCACTTTAAGAAAATTGTGCCATCTTGGAAAATACAGTTTTCCATAAGAGGTTATTTAAATTCAAGTAAAGACAAATTAAGCAATAAATGGTGAGCACAGCCTATTAAAAAACATATATTCATATTGAAAATAAACTACTAAAAAATTCCCGACACAAAGACTATGTAAATATAAATTCATAAAGGCACAAATAAAAGAAAATGTTTTCAATTATTTTTTCAATGTAAACAGTTGCTCAAACTCAAAAAACCACACACATGCACACAAAAACTCTGAATCTGATAGCATAAATACATAAACTTTTACATGGCTCCAAAAGAAAAAAGATAAAGTAAAAAAAATGATGAACTTGTAAAGTTATAAGAAATGTTTGCAAGTCCCATTAACAGACAAATATTTAAAAGTCTTCTCAAATCAGTAAGATAAAGACAACTAACCCACTGAGAAAAAAAGAAGAGATGAGTATTAATGAAAATAACTTTAGTCATATTTAAATATATTAAAAGCTACTTGATCTCATTTATAATAAAAGAAAGAAAAATCATATCAAGAATCCCTTATTGACCTATAAATTGTGATATCATTAGAGAATTTATTCACACATAGTGCTGGTGAGGCCCATGAGGAAACACGAATGTTTTGTTATTGAAAGTGTAATTTTTAGGGAGACCCTTTGGCAAATTTCCTTCAAAATTGCAATTGATCCCACTATTTCACTTTGAGGTTGGCAGATGTCTAAGAAACTCCCCAGTGATCCATGTTCATGCCTCTTGAGTGCAGGCAAGACCTATAACTTGCCTCTTAACCAATAAAATATGGTAAAAAAAAATGGGTTATTACTCCAGTGATTTTATTATAAGTCAAAGGTGAAGCTATTTTGCAGATTTAATTAAGGCCTTTAATCAGTGAACTTTAAGTTAATCAAAGGCAAAATGATCCTGGGTGGGACTGACTTAATGAAGCTCTTTCAAAAAAAGATATAGGGGAAGTATTACCTAGCAGGCACCAGAGACTCTTCTGCTGGCCAAATTAAACAGTCCACGTGAGTTCTGCAGCTCTAAGGAACTGAATTCTGACAACAGCCTGAGTGAGCCTGGAGGAGGACTCTGGATTCCAGGTGGCAACACAGCTATGCTGATAACTTAATTATGGCTTTGCCAGAACCTGAGTAGAGGACTAAATTACTCCGTAATGGACTCCTGATTCACAGAAACTATGATATAATAAATATGTGTCGTTTTAAGTCTCTAAATCTATGGTAATTTGTTATGCAGCAATAGAAGACCAATATAAGATTTCTTTCACAAATGTGCACCCATGCAAATTGATGTATGTTAAGGCTTTTCATTGTTGCATTATTTCTGATACCAAAATATTAATAATAAACTAAAAGTTCAACAATAAGCATGAAATAAACTTATGATGATCTATATTTGCAATGGAATATTATGAAACATAAAATAGAGTAAGAAACTTATTTATGTACTGTAATATAAATAACTCCAAAACATATTAGTAAATTTTAAAGAGCAAGGTGAAGAACATGTGTATGGTATGCAAACAGTTATGTGATAAAAGGGGAAAAAGACTACAGGTTCGTATTTCTTCAAATAAACATAAAAAAGAACGTTTTGAGTGAATCAAAAATAATAGTAATCTTTTGTTGTGACAGAAGATGTGATCTGATTTGAAAAATTTGTGGGATGCAGCATTTCTACTGTTAGTGCATTATTTATTTCAAAAAATATAATAAATGCATTTTATTTTAAAATCATGAAAGAAAAGTATATATGTAAAATCCCTAATCAAGTCTTAAGGGATATCATGAAGGAAAAAATATACTTTAATAAGAAACAAGAAGGCCAGAAAGTTATAAGAACATAACACAATGGAAGAGTGTTGACAGGGCAAAGATAGAAGACTAAAGGAAAGAGTGAGTAGTCTGCATATCCCAAGATGGTTTGCCTGGTTTAAAGCACTGGAAGTTGGTAGACAGCTGGGATCTTGAGACACTATTATTTTTGGAAGTATAAGCCAAAAATAAAATTTTAAGGCCCCTAACCATCTGAATGGACTTCCTCCTCAGCCAGGGCACTCTTAAAATTTAACCTGAGAGACTGGTTCAGGCCATGACAGAAAGTAGGGGTCAGACATGCCTCATCATACCTCTCTAGCATTAACATCAACACAGATTTTAACTCTGATAAGGAACATTTTACAAGCTATTCGCTCTGAAGCCTACTACCTGAAGGCATCCCCTGCAAGTAAGAACTTGGGTCTCCATAAATCTTTATCTTTACTCAGACATTTCTTTCTATTGATCCAGGTCTTTAGATAAACTCAACCAATGGTCAACCAGAAAATTCTTAAATATACCTATAAGCTGGAGGCCCCCCTGCTTCGAGTTGTCTCAACTTTCTGGACCAAACTAGAAAGTCTATACTTCTTTTAAATGTATTTGATTGAAGTTTCATGTCTCCCCAAATTGTATAAAACCAAGCTGTATCCCAACGACCTTGGGTACATGTTCTCAGGACCTCCTGAGGGATGCGTCACGGGCCATAGTCACTCATGTTTGGCTCAGACTAAATATTTTCACATTTTTTAACAGAATTTGACCCTTTCCGTCGACAGAGACAATCTGGTGTTGGTAAGTATGATGTAGAGTAGGATGAGCCTTAGGAGGTCAAGAAGAAACAGTGGGCAATAGCAATGTTGTACTGAGAGATAATCGTTTCCTACCAAAGTAGAATGCAATCAGAAAAACTCCCTTCCCATCTCTTAATCCCAACCCTTATCTTGCCCACAGTCACATTTCCTTTTTTGCTCCCAGGAAACTTCTTTCCAAGTTACATGGTGTTTACATGGTGTTGATATAAGTATTGCTGACATTATTCTACAGTACTGCTGATAACGTTGGTGAATTTCCAGTGTCACGTTTGAGGGATCTCATCGCTGCCCATCTATTTAGCACTTCTAACCACTAGTTTCCTGATATGACTTGTCTTTTATTGCCAGAGTAATCCCAACTGTGGTTTTTTAGAAACAAAACCACACAAATATAATATGTTGATGATTTCACTGTTTGTTAAGTGAGAAGATTTGGGCCTTTAAACAATGAAACTAGAGAGATGCTTCAAAAGTGATTTGCATTTTCAAAGCACTTCGGTGACTTCTGTTTGTGAGAAAAGCATTGCCAGAATAATGATATCTGCGAATCAGGTACAAAAAATCTGAGTGAAAAAAATCCCTTTGTCTTACTCAGAGTCTGTCTCTGAGATCTGTTTTTATGCTGGGAAGCTGTGGGAAACAAATCTGATGGCTGGTGCTGTTTGTACCACATCTGGAACCATTAAAGGGCCACCCTTCCCTCCCTGCAAGAAAAGCAAGACATCTGGGGGTATTTTCATTCTCCGTAATTCATTCTAATTTCCCACTGCTTAAACTGCAACTTGGGAGTTATTATGCACTTTGAAGAACTATGTTCACTATAGCAGGCCGCTAGGGAACTATGTAGTGTGCAGAAGCTGTAATTTACAAAATACCCTCTGGAGAAAGGAGGGAGGGAATGGAGCTTGGAAAGTGCTTTCTTTTCTACAGCGGAACTTAAACGCTATGGGAATTACATCCAACAAACTGATCATGACACTAGAGCTTCGTAAATACAAAATAGTATTTCTGTAATGTAAAACAAGGAACTCAGAATCTCTTGTTCTGCTTCTACATAAGCTATTGTTACAATAAAAACACATTCCCATGGTTATCTTAATAGCTTTTGAACAAGAATATTAGCGAGATCCTTCCCTGCTTCTCTGGGTAATTTTCAGGACCGATATACTTTAGTGATTTTATTCTTCTATCAGAATAAGCAGCCAATACAACTATGGGCTGATTCTTGATAAAGTTTATTTCTGATGTTAGTAACTTTTATCTTGTCTCATTTTTGTTGGTTAGACTGCCTAGAAGCTTGTCAATATTTTTAGTCTCTTCAATGGAACAATTTGGTTTCATTAATTGTCTGTATTGATTTCTTATTTTCAATTTTATTGATTTCTGTTCAATTATTTTATTTTCTTCTGTAGGTTTTAGGTATATTACTCTTCTCTCTCTAGATTCTTAAGGTAGAGTTTTCAGTTATTGATTAGATTTTTCCTTTTTTTCCTAATATGTGCATTTAATGCTATAAAATTCTTTCTAGGTATTTTTTCACTGTACCCCAGTGAAATTTTTATGGATTTTATTTTTATTTTCTTTATTTCAAAATATTTAAAAAGTTTTTTCTAAAACTTTTTTTTTAATCCATGTGTTACGTAGAAGTGTGTTGCTCATCTCCAAATATTTGGTCTTTTTTTTCAGCTGTCTTTCTATTATTGATTTCTAGTTGAATTTTACTATGGTCTGAGAGCACATTTTATATGAATTCTGTTTGCAAAAGTTTTCAAGATGTGTCTTATGGAACAGAATGTGGTCTGTCTTGATGAATGTTTTATGTGAGCTTGACAAGAACATGTATTCAACTGTTGTTGGAAGGTATATTCCATAAATATCAATGAAATCAAGTTAATTGATGGTGCTGCTCAGGTGAAATATTTACACTGAATTTCTGTTCATTTGATTTATCAATTACTTCTTTTATGATATTCACTTTGCCTTTGGTATTCTGCAATTTGAATATGGTATGTCCAGCTGCAGATTTTATGGTATTTATCCTGATTGGTATTATATAAACTGCCTAGATATGTGATTTTTGTGTCTGTCATTACTTCTGAAAAATTCTCAACCATTATTATAGTACTTCAAATATTTCTTCTCTTCCTTTCTCTCTTCTACATCTGGTATTCCAATAAAATTGTCCCAAAGTTTATGGATATTATGAGTTTTTCCCTATTCATTTTTTTTCTCTTTGTATCTCATTTTGGGAAGGCTCTTGATATATTTTTAAGGTCACTGATTATGTCCTTAGCCATGATCAGTCTACTGGTCAGTCCATCAAAGGCATTCTTTATTTTTCTTACACTGTTTTTGGTTTCTAGCATTTCTTTTTTATTCTTTCTGGGTTTCCATCTCTCAGTTTACATTGCCTATCTGTTTTTGAATGTTACTCACTTTTTCTCTGAGGGCCTCTAACATACGAATAATAATTATTTCAAATTTTTGTTTGAAAATTCCAAAATCCCAATTATATCTGAGTTGGGTTCTGATGCTTGCTTTATGTTTTTTGACTGTTTCTTTTGCTTAACTTTTAGCCTGCTTTGTAGTTTTTTGTTGAAAGTCAAACTTGATGAATCAAGTAATAGGATCTGAGGTAAACAGGTCTTAATTTGAAGTTTTATGTTAAACCCATGCCAGCCATAATAAAAGAAAATTTGCCCCATGGGCCTGTGAGGAAGTTTGCTAAGAGGAAGCTTGTGGATGGAGTTGAAAGGTACTTTGAAAGCCTGCACACCTGAATTTGGACATGCCTCAAATTTGAAAGACTTCAGAAAGTAGCAGCAAGGAGCTCAAAATAATGAAAATTAAAAAATTAACCCAATGACTGAAATGACTATGCTTTCTGAACAAAGAATTAGAACACATACTGAATTGATGAATAGTGTGCTTGCTCAGCATTCACTACCTCATGTGCCTACAGGGGCTGAGCAAATAACATCAATGTGTTGGTCACCCTGATAGTAACAAGAAGTATGGAATGGGTGGCTGAACCAATAGGCAAGCCGAATAAAGCCATTAAAATAACAAAAATACAGCAAAGAAAATGCATCTCTGGGTTCTATGTAGGGTAATGAACACTAATTTTTCATGTGTTATGCATAAGGCTGACTTACTAATTGAGTTTCTACTAGGTAGGCTCAACAAAACAAAATAATTTAGATGAGGAAATAGAACATTTTATGTAAGACAAGCAGATTACTCTGTTTTTAGGGAAGAAAGCATAATTTTATCTTATCTTATATGCATGGGAATTTGTAACCAAGTTGAATTTTTCATACATATAGTAAATAAGGTTAGGCAGAATATCATCCTGAGGTATCTGCTTGGTGGCCAGACCAACTTTAAGAGTTGCTATTTTGCAAACTTACTTATTGTCACATTCTTCAATATCTCCTGGAGGTGACTCAATGCAAATGCCAGGAGTAAGAACAGAATTCTAGGAAAACAACTGTACAACATAACAATGAGACTTTAAATAGTCATTATGTTTTATCTGGTAATTCTACTTTTAAATTTATTCTTCACTGCTATTATAAAATACAAATTAACATGTATCTTAAATATAAAACCAACAGAGATTATCCATGAACAAATATAATCTTAATATAGGTAGGTGAAGCTATGAAATATTAAAGTGATTAAATATTAATTGATGCACACATTAAAATGATGTGTATAAGAAATAATAACACAGGAAGAAACATAATTATCACATTTACAAGATAAAAATGTATCTATGGCAAACTAAATCATTATGCAGAAAGAAGAAAAAGTGCAATAGTTAAATGACATAGTTTTTTAATTCAGTGGTACCTTTTATTCTCTTGTCTATATTTTCTGCCATGAAACACACAAAACTCCCATGATCAGAAAAGGAAAATTACCTTAATTGCTAATCCTGGCCTATTTCCAGAAATCTTTTAATTTCATAAACTCCAGATATTTTCTATATCTTTTAAATTTTGCTAAAATTAACAAAATCACATCCCTTATTAATTTAAATTCCTTTTCGTTAAAATGAAAAGCAAAATAGTTATTTGAATGTCTGTCACCTAGAAGAAAAGCCACAATCTGGAAATCAATTGCAGGAACTATGTGTGGCACAGCCGCAGAACTTTCCAATGACAGCCAGTGAGGGGACAGCCCATAAAAACAAAGGAAGCTAAGCTAGACGAGGCTTGAAGTAGCACTGTGGAGAGAGACCATCTGCCTCTCTAACCTGGATGCTTAGTGTGGGCATTCTGTTCCCACACTAAGAGACACACCTTCTATGCTCTCTGGGTAGAATACAGCTTACATGTGTCATCGTCCAGTCTCCATGTGGTCACAGAGTTACTTTAGTGATCTCCATGACAAAGTTACTGTATGCCAGAAGACAGATTGGCAGACGTGTACATGAAAAGCCATAAATTTGCACCTCAACAAAGTCAAAAGGAGAAACCAACCCAAAGGAGAAACCAACCATCTCATACTCAATGGGAGAGAAGTCAGTGGTGCCAAGGATAAAAACAAATAGAATTGGGGGCAGGCATTCCACTAGTTCTTGTCATGCGAGAATAGTGTTTTATGGACTTCTTCATTTCAAATGATTCTGAGGGCATTCCATAACTCATATTCAGTACCTTGTCCCTTTTATCTCTGGAATGTCCACACAACACTGACAGGTATTTCAGTTGCATGGCAATTCAAATTCTACCCTCTGCCTCAGTGGTGCCATCTATACCTTCCACATATCCACATATATTTAATAATAATAATTTTAACAATACATAATATTTTATCAGGTTGATGTGGAATACTTTATTATCCTGATGATGAGCATTTACATTGTTTTTCAATATTTCATATTTAGAAATAAGTACTATTATGAATATCAACATTACATTATTTTGTTTTCTGTAGAGCAGTTTTTATTAGTTAAGTTTCTAGGAGTAAAAGTTCAGGAATTTCTCTTGATTTGCATTTGCAAATCACTCTCCAAAATGCTTCTAACAATTTATAAAGATATCAGCATAAAATAAGTGTGTTCCAGTTTTATCACAACTCTATGAGGGACTTATCTTTATTTGTTTTCACTGTCTTTCTCTCAGTAAATTTCCCTTTAGACCATTTATTTATAACCACTTATAATAATCTACAGAAATATATCTATAGAGCATTTATTGTAAACCAGAAATATTTTGTAAACATTGAGAATCAACTATGAATGAAGAAAATGCTTGCTTTCATGGAACTTACATTGTAGATTGGTAGAAAGATACAACAAATAAATTAGCCAATAAATAATATGGTATTAGATAGTTGTAAGGTCTGCTAAGAGAACTTAGTGCCACTAATGGATATGAAATACGCTAAATGGGAAGTTGTAAGTCCTCTTTTAATAGATCTTAAAGAGTTGTAGAGCAAGGTATTAGTAACTCAAAGTTACTAATTAGTAACTCAAGTTATTAGTAACTCAAGGTATTAGTAACTCAAGGTACACCTCTAAACATCTAAAATTTTCTCCTCCAAAGATAAATATTTTAAGTTGTTTTATTGCTAACTCAAGCCATTGTGATTTCAGAAATCAGTCATATTCTAAGATTTCTGGTATACCTTTTAGATATTGGACATGCATAGTCTCTCTTTTTAAAAAGTAAGGATTGGGAAACATTTTATTGGGAATTCTTCTGCAGAGATTGTCATGTTAGGAAGGTGTATCCAAAGAACTTCCAATTAAACCGCAAACAAATGCAAAATACAGTGAGAGAAAAGGAAAGTCGAAATTAGTATATCACTACTTATTTAGGTCAGCCTTGCACACACAAAAAAAATGCTACAATGTGCCTAAACACACACAGAGAAAAACTCAGTCTAAATTCTTTGCTTTTCTCTGCTTCTGTATTTTACTTTACAATCAACTTGTGGGTTGAATTAATCCCCTGATTGGCTTTCATAGGCTATTACAGTGCTTGTTAATGCTATTATTTTAATGTGAATGTCTTATTGTCAGTGGTTGTACCCTTCAGTTAGCTGTGGATTTTGCTTGTCCATACTCTTCTCACATTCACTTTTTCTATCTTGTTTCTTAAAGCATTTTGAGAGCATCAATGCAGATTTATTCATTTATCAGTGAGCAAACATTTCTCAATTGACTACTAAAGATAAAAACACTGTTTGGTTGGCAATGTGATGAATACAGAGAGAACTCAGATGTGATCCCTGCCTTTAAAGAGCTCTGACCTCTACTAGTATGTTTTAGAGAAGAGGTGGTCCTTTACTCCTGAGTTTTCTTTGTATATGAAAGGAGTTTATTAAGAAACTGCTTATCTCTTTTTTAAGTTGTTTCATTGCTAACCCAAGCCACTGTGATTTCAGAAATCTTACTGTAAGATTTCTGGTGTGCCTTTTAGATATTGGATGTGCAAAACCTCCTTTTTAAAAAGGCAGGGATTGGGAAACTTTTACATATTCTATCCTAAGAAAGGTACAGTGACTTACCCTTTTGGGTAATTTGGAACCTGATTGAGAAGCTATAACTTCAGGATAAAAACGTTAGTTTTATTCTGTTGGAATTTGACAGCCATTGAAGAAGCATCAAAACCATGTTTATAAAAATTATATTGGGAGTTGTAATACAAATGTAAACTAGGTCTCCATGCTCCCACTCAAGCTGTGTCTTCATTTCTGAATACTGATTTCACAGGCGCATGAGAGACCACATATCATCCAATGATTACTGTAGATTTCTGGGAGCTTATTCCTCATTCTTTTCTTTGTCTCCACATTCCTCCAACCATACATGTTGCCTTGGTCTGCCTGAATTATTAATATGTAGCATACACCATAGTCTTTTATGAAAAACAGGCTGATCATATGCATATATATTTTATGAGTTTACTAACACTGAAGACAGAAATCACCTTGGAAAATGCCTGGGGGCTTTTACTGTATTCAGTGTTTTGCTCCCTGTATCTCCTCCTTCCCATATGCTCCAGGGGAAACTGACAGGTTTTTGTTGTTGTTGTTTAAGTTCCACCAAATAAATCTGTTCAGGCCCTGGGGGTTGAATATGGTATTTCAAATGAAATTCTCAAACTTGCAGAAAAGTTAAAGGCATACTACAATGTATACCCATTTGCCCTTGTTAATACTTTACCTAGCTAGCTAGCTAGTTATCTATATTATTTTGCCAAACTGTTTGAAAGTAAGTTTCAGATATCATGATATTTCACCCTTAAGTACTTCAGCATGGATATCCAAAAATAAAGATACTATCTTATAAAATCAAAAGTATCCATGTCTTACTAAATCAGTATTATTTAAGAAGTATTATACTGCACATATTTAAATTTTAAGTTGTTCCTTAAATTTTAAGCTGTCTCATAATTTTCTCAGGGTGCTTTTAAGATTTTTTCTTTATCATTGGTTTTCAGTAATTTGATTATAATGTGATGTGGTGTGGTTTTCTTTGTGTTCATCCTGCTTAAGTTTCTTCGGCCTCATCGTGATGCAGAATTTTTGCTAAAGGCTCAGCTAGGTCCAGGTTCTTGTCTCATGTCCAGGAAAAATTAGACATGTGGACCCCATAGAGTGAGTGGAGTACAGTTTATTAAGCAGAGATAGCATCAAGATGGCCAACTAGAAGCAGAGGCAATCGGAGGTTCTCATCAAAAAGATCCAAAACAGCATGTGAATCCTGCACAGCAAACCGAGATATCCAGGTTCTGACATTAGGACTGACTAGGTGGCTGGCATGACCCACAGAGAGGAAGGAAGAGCAGTGTGGTATGGCAGCCCACCTGAGAGCCACATAGAGCAGAAGACTCCACACCACCAGCCAAGGGAGGCAGTGAGTGAACAGGCTATGAAGGCTGGGGAACCATGATTTTTCCACAGAACTGTGCAAGACACGGATCAGAAGATCCCACTCGGAAGCCCAAGCCACTGAGGCCTTGGGCCCCAACCACAGAGCCACACAGATTCTCAACACCCACTTGGCTAGAATTGGCCTCAGCCTGAGAGTTTCTTGGGGGAGGGGGTACCATAACCACTGCTGTGGCTGCCTGAAGTCTAAGCCATCTGAGCTTTTTAGGGGAGGGGCCGCAGTCAACACTGTGGCTGTAGGGCCTTCCTGCAGGAACTCCAACTCCAGTGAGGAGCTCAGGGACAGAACTCTGATCTCCCTGGGCCTGAACCCCTAGGGGGAGGGATGGCCATAGTCTCTGCAGAGCAGCAGACTTAGTCTTTCCTCCTGCTAGCTCTGAGTAATCTTGGCAGCCCAGATGAATGGTGTTCCCCTCAGTGCAGCACAAGGGACAGCAAAGTGCCTCATTAAATGGGTCCTGCTTCCTATGCCACCTAACTAGGTGAGACCCCCAAACAGGGGTTGTCAGACATCCTATATAGTAGCATTCCTACTGGCATCAGGTCAGTGACCCTGAGGTCAGAGATCCCAGAGGAAGGAGCAGAAACCCATCTTTGCTGTCCTCCAGGCTCCTCCAGTGACATCTGCAGGCACAGGAGCAAACTAGATGAATAGAGTCTGAAGTGAACCCCCAGGAAACCACAGCAGACCTACAGAAGAGGAACCTAACTATAAAAGAAAACAAACAAAAAGAAAAAAAAAGCATCAACAAAAAAAGTCCCCAAAAAACCTCATCCGAGGGTCAGCAGCCTCAAAGATTGAAACTAGACAAACTCATGAAGATGAGAAATAATCAATGAAAAAACACTGAAAACCCAAAAACCCAGAATGCCTCTTCTCCTCCAAATGATTGCAACATCTCTCCAGGAAGGGCTGAAAACTAGACAGAGGATAAGATGGATGAATTGGCAGAAGTAGGCTTCAGAAAGTGGGTAATAACAACTTCACTGAGGTAAAGGAGCATGTTCTAACCCAATAAAGAAGCTAAGAATGTTGATAAAAGGTCAGAGGAGCTGCTAACTAGAATAACCAGTTTAGAGAGGAACATAAATGACCTAACGTATCTGAAAAACACAACATGAGAACTTTGTGAAGCATACCCAAGTATCAATACCTGAATCGATCAAGTGGAAGAAAGAATATCAGAGATGGAAGACTATCTTGCTGAAATAAAGCAGGCAGACAAGATTAGATACAAGAGAATGAAAAGGAACAAACAGGACCTCCAAGAAATATGGGACTATGTAAAAAAACTAAACCTACAACTGATTCGAGTAACTGAAAGAGAAAGGGAGAATGGAACCAAATTGGAAAACACACTTCAGGATATTATCCAGGAGAACTTCCCCAACCTAGCAAGATAGAGCAACACTGAAATTCAGGAAATACAGAGATCCCCACTAAGATACTCCACGAGATCAAACCCAAGACACATAATCATCAGGTCAAAATGAAGAAGAAAATGTTAAGGGCAGCCAGAGAGAAAGGCCAGGTAACCTACAAAGGGAAGCCCATCAGACTCACAGTGAATCTCTCAGCAGAAACCCTACAAGCCATAACAGAGTTGGGGCCAACATTCAACATTATTAAAGAAAAGAATTTTCAACCCAGAATTGCATATCTGGCCTAACTAAGCTTCATAAGTGAGGGAGAAATAAAATCCTTTTCAGAAAAGCAATAATGAGGGAATTCATTACCATCAGTCCTGCCTAGCAAGAGCTCCTGAAAGAAGCACTAAATATGGAAAGGAAACGCCAGTATCAGCCCTTGCAAAACATACAAAAATATAAAGACCAACGAAACTATGGAGAAACTGCATTAACTAGTGTGCAAATTAACTAGTTAGCATCATGATGACAGGATCAAATTCACATGTAACAATATTAACCTTAAATGTAAATGGCCTAATTGCCCCAATTAAAAGACACAGACTGAAAAATTGGATAAAGATTCAAGACCCATTGGTGTGCTGTATTCAAGAGACCCAACTCTTGTGTAAAGACACACATAGGCTCAAAATAAAAGGATGGAGGAAAATTTACCAAGCAAATGGAAAGCAGAAGTAAGCAGGGATTGCAATCCTAGTCTCTGACAAAACAGATTTTAAACCAACAAAGATAAAAAAAGACAAAGAAGAGCATTACATAATGGTGAAAGAATCAATTCAACAAGAAGAGCTAACTATCCTAAATATATATGCAGCCAATACAGGAGCACCAGATTCATAAAACAAGTTCTTAGAGACCTACTAAGAGACTTAAGACTCTCATACAATAATAGTGGGAAACTTGAACATCCCACTGTAAATATTAGACAGATTAACAGAAAATTAACAAGGATATTCAGGACTTGAACTCAGCTCTGGATGAAATGGACCTAGTAGGTAACTACAGAACTCTCCACCCCAAAACAACAGAATATATATTCTTCTCAGTGCCACATGGCACTTACTCTAAAATTGACCACATAATTGGAAGGACAACACTCCTCAGCAAATGCAAGATAACTGAAATAATAACAAACAGTCTTTCAGACTACAGAGCAATCTAATTAGAACCCAGGATTCAGCAACTCACTCAAAACAACACAACATCATGGGAATTGAACAACCAGCACCTGAATGACTTGTGGGTAAATAATGAAATTAAGGAAGAGATCAAGTTCTTTGAAACCAATGAGAACAAAGAGACAATGTACCAGAATCTCTGGGACTCAACTAAAGCAGTGTTAAGAGGGAAATTTCCAGCACTAAATGTCCACATCAGAAAAGCTAGAAAGATTTCAAATCAACACCCTAATATCACAATGAAAAGAAATAGAGAAGCAAGAGCAAACAAATCCAAAAGCTAGCAGAAGACAAGAAATAGTTAACTAAGATTAGAGTAAAACTGAAGGAGATAGAGACATGAAAATCCTTCAAAAATCAATAAATACAGGAGATGTTTTTTTGAAAAATAATAATAACATAGACTGTTAGCTAGATTGATAAGGAAGAAAACTGAGAAGAACCAAATAGACACAATAAAAAATGATAAACAGGCTATCACCACTGATCCCACAGAAATACAAACTAACATCAGAGAATACCATAAACACCTCTACACAAATAAACTAGAAAATCTAGAAGAAATGGATAAATCCCTGGACAAATACATCCTCCCAAGACCAAACCAGGAAGAAGTCAAATCCCTGAATAGACCAATAACAATTTCTGAAATCGAGGCAGTAATTAATAGCCTATCAACCAAAAAAAGCCCAGGACCAGATAGATTCACAGCCAAATTCTACCAGAGGTACAACAAAGAGTTGGTACCATTCCTTCAGAAACTATTCCAAACAATTGAAAAGGAGGGACTCCTTCCTAACTCATTTTATGAGGCCAGCATCATGATGACACCAAAACCTGGCAGAGACACAACAAAAAAGAAAATTTCAGGCCAATATCCCTGATGAACATCTATGTGAAAATCCTCAATAAAATACTGGAAAACCAAATCCAGCAGCATGTGAAAAAGCTTATCCACCATGACTAAGTCAGCTTCATCCCTGGGATGCAAGGCTGGTTCAACATACACAAATCAATAAATGTAATCCATCACATAAACAGAAACAATGACAAAAACTACATGATTATCTCGATAGCGGCAGCAAAGACCCTTGACAATATTCAACATCCCTTCATGTTAAAAACTCTCAATAGGCCAGGTGTGGTGGCTCATGCCTGTAATCCCAGCACTTTGGGAGGCCGAGGCGGGCAGATCACAAGGTCAGGAGATCAAGACCATCTTGACTAACACAGTGAAACCCCTTCTCTACTAAAAAAAAAAAACACAAAAAATTAGCCAGGCGTGGTGGTGGGCGCCTGTAGTCCCAGCTACCTGGGAGGCTGAGGCAGGAGAGTGGCATGAACCTGGGATGCAGAGCTTGAAGTGAGCCGAGATCACGCCACTGCATTCCAGCCTGGGTGACAAAGCAAGACTCCATCTCAAAAAAAAAAAAAAAACTCTCAATAATTTAGGTATTAATGGGACATATCTTAAAATAATTAGAGCTATTTATGATAAACCCACAGCCAATATCATACTGAATGGGTAAAACCTAGAAGCATTCCCTTTGAAAACCAGCAAAAGACAAGGATGCCCTCTCTCACCACTCCTATTCAACATAGTATTAGAAGTTCTGGCCAGGGCAATCAGGCAAGAGAAATAAATAAAGTGTATTCAAATAGGAAGAGATGAAGTCAAATTGTCCTTGTTTGCAGACGACATGATGTTATATTTAGAAAACCCCATCATCTCAGCCTAAAAACTCCTTAAGCTGATCAGCAACTGCAGCAAAGTCTCAGGATACAAAATCAATGTGAAAAAATCACAAGCATTCCTATACACCAACAACAGACAAGCAGAGAGCCAAATCATGAATGAACTCCCATTCATAATTGCAACAAGGAGAATAAAATACCTAGGAATAAAACCAACAAGGCACGTGAAGATCCTCTTCAAGGAGAACCACAAACCACTGCTCATGGAAATAAGAGAGGACACAAACAAATGGAAAAACATTCCATGCTCATGAATAGAAAGAATCAATATTGTGAAAATGGCCATACTGCCCAAAGTAATTTATATATTCAATGCTCTTCCCATCAAACTACCATTGACATTCTTCACAGATTTAGAAAAAAAATACTTTAAAATTTATATGGAACCAAAAAAGAGCTCTCATAGCCAAGACAATCCCAAGCAAAAAGAACAAAGCTGGAGGCATCATGCTACCTGACTTCAAACTATACTGTAAGCCTACAGTAACCAAAACAGCATGGTACTGGTAACAAAACAGAAATATAGACCAATGGAACAAAATAGAGACATCAGAAATAACACCACACATCTACAATCATCTGATCTTCAACAAACCTGACAAAAACAAGCAATGGGAAAAGGATTCCCTATTTAATAAGTGGTTTTGGGAAAACTGGCTAGCCATATGCAGAAAACTGAAACTGGACCCCTCCCTCACATCTTATACAAAAATTAATTCAAGGTGGGCTTAAGACTTAAATGTAAAAGCCAAAACCATAAAAGCCCTAGAAGAAAACCTAGGCAATACCATTCAGAACATAGTTATGGGCAAAGATTTTATGATAAAATCACCAAAAGCAATGGAAACAAAAGCTAAAATTGACAAATGGGATCTAATTAAACTAAAGAGCTTCTGGACAGCAAAAGAAACTATCATCAGAGTGAGCAGGCAATGTACAGAATTGGAGAAAATTTTTGCAATCTATCCATCTGACAAAGGTCTAATATTCAGAATTTACAAGAAACATAAACAAACTTACAAGAAAAAAAACAAACAACTCCATCAAAAAGTGGGTAAAGATATGAACAGACACTTCTCAAAAGAAGACATTCATGTGGCCAAAAAGCATATGAAAATAAGCTCGACATCACTGATCATTAGAGAAATACAAATAAAAAACACAATGAGATACCATCTTACACCAGTCAGAATGACAATTATTAGAAAGTCAAGAAACAACAGATGATGGCGAGGCTGTGGAGAAATAGGAACGCTTTTACACTGTTGGTGGAAATATAAATTAGTTCAACCATTTTGGAAGACAGTGTGGCGATTGCTCAAGGATCTAGAACCGGAAATACCATTTGGCCCAGCAATCCCATTACTGGGTATATACCCAAAGGAATATAAATGATTCTATTATAAAGATACATGCACACGTATGTTTATTGCAGCACTAGTCGCAATAGCAAAAACATGGAACCAACCCAAATGCCCATCATTGATAGACTGGATAATGAAAATGTGGTACATATAAACCATGGAATACTATGCAGCCACAAAAGGAATGAGATTATGTCCTTTGCAGAAACATGGAAGCTGGAAGCCCCCATCCTCCTCAAACTAACACAGGAACAGAAAACCAAACACTGCAGGTTCTCACTCGTAAGTGGGGTTTGAACAATAAGAACACATGGACACAGGGAGGGGAACAACACACACTGTGGCCTGTTGGGGTGGGGGCGAGGGGAGGGATAGCATCAGGACAAATAGCTAATGTATGCAGGGCTTAAAACCTAAATGATGGGTTGATAGGTGCAGCAAACCACCATGGCACATGTATACCTATGTAACAAACCTGCGCATTCTGCACATGTATCCCAGAACTGAAAATAAAATAATTATAAAAAGATATAATTTATTAAGCAAAAGGAAAGCTCTTAACAGAGAAAGGGGTCCTGAAAAGCAGGTTGCCAGTTGCCCCCTTCACAGTTGAATACAAGTGCTTTTATGTAAAAGCTGATGGGGCTGGGTTCACTGTTTGCACAAGGTGTGAATTCCTGGTGGCTCCACCCAATTCCCCCCAGTGCACATGCAGGTCCTTAGTCTTCTGGGGGCATGTTTAAGCAAGCCCCCTGTGCAAGTTCCCTTATTTGCCCAAAACACAGGTTGGAGGTTTTCTGCAGACACTTCTCTTACTGTCTGCCTAAAGCAAGCTGGCTAACTCCTTTCAATTGGGTCTGAGGACTTAAAGTTTTCACAAAATTGGAAATATTTTCAGCAATTTATTTAAAATACTTAGGAACGCCTAAGAAATAAACATGAGCCTCCTTTTATAAGTACTTTATACTGTTTGATGCTGGGCCACAGGGCTCTGAGGGACACACTGAGAAAGTGCTAAAGAACATGAGGAAGCAAACAATGCTGATTTGATACAGCTGAAAATGAAGAGCAGAACTTCAAGACTGAGTGATTCTTCAATAAGGAAGAGGGCTAATAGTAGTTGTTATCTGGTAGTTTGTCTACATATACCATTAGACAAAGTAGCCAAATGAAATCGTTGACCATCATCGAAAATACATAGCATAATTTGCTTACCGAGAAGTCCAAATAGCTAAATTGATGTGGTGCATGATATCGACCTCATTTATTTCTTCTAGCAATTTCCTAAACTAGGAATTATTTTATATATAGAATAAAGGCATAATAATATACCAAAAAAGGTTCAAAGAGGACAGTCAGAAACAAACTTTGAAGAAAGGACAAACATGTTTGCTTGGATTAGAAAAAATGACAAACATTGTAATTGTTTTTGTGTAAATTCCCAAGTCAATGGGATTGTGCCTTGAAAATCTATTATAGGAAATAGCTGAATAGTTATTAAACTTTTAACATATATATATGTTGCTTGTACTGAGACACTCTTGCACTCACCATGGTTTTTATATTTATGCCATAAAAATGGAATATGGCTGTATTTTATATATATATATACATACACACATGAGGATTATATATATAATCATGTATAATAATTCTATACTTATATATTGTGCATATATAATTACATAAATACAATATAATATATAGACACATACACAAGAAAATTATTTAAAAGCTGTAGGTTAGTTTATGGAAGGATAAGGTAAGCTACAGAATCCATGGTCACAATCCTGCTACCCACCATTCTGGTAAAGACAATGGCATCTTCACTGTTAGAAGACACATGCTTCAGTTAGAAGCCACATGCTGCAGATTGTTTCACTCTTCCTTCTGAGCTCTCCATAGCATGCTCTCATCAACACCAAAAGAGATTTCTGAGGCAAATATTCTGTGTGGTGAGCTCGCACATCAAATTAATTCAAAGCCACATGCCTATATCCTAGCTACAAATGCTAGGAAAATTAATATCTGACCCTTTCATCTTAATTGGAAGACAATCTTTGCCTTCTGTCAATACTTATATATCTGGGAACCCTTTAAATGTAGGATGAAGATAATGTTTGCCCATCTCAGCCATTTAAGTATGAGTAGTTTTGACTAAGACAATATTTCTATGATTCCTTGCCACAAATGCAAGAAAATTATTATATATTGCCACAATTTTTGCTAGTCACCATTCTGAATTGCCTTACAAAAATGCTTTTTCTGACTTACATTCAAATCAAGATTGTATACATACCACTCTCAACTACTTTCAAGTTAGAACTTCCCAAATTACCTAGAAAAATCCAGAACTCTATGTTTTTATAAGTTCTGTGTGCTATACTGGGAATAAAGTTCTGTTGTTCTTGAGTCAAATTTGCCCCAAATACTGGGTGCTCTCATTGATAAGATGAGGATGTCAGATTCAGTATCATTAATATTATTTCTAACTCTATTGTTCTCTGAAATGTTTTCACTAAATGGAGACCATAATAGCTCTGATACAGAAATATTCTATTTTACATGATTGATTCTTTTGTTTTGCCCATAAAACAGCAGACATTTATAAATCTCAATATTCATTATGTAATTTTTATAATATTAAATTTAATGTTTTTAATTAAATTAAGATTAATTTTAGATTGACATAAGATTAAATATCATTTTATATTATATAACCCTTTCAAGAAATAACCAAGAGTTTAGAACTCATAAGAGCACCGTTATCATGGCCATCCTGGTAAGTCAGGAGCACTTGATGAAAATTCAATAATATAATTTCAAATAGATTTACAAAGTTATTTCTTATCTAGCTTGATTTGGAAGTTGAGAGATATTCATTTTGAACTTGAATTTTTCTTTTTAGTAATAAAACACTGTCACAGGTTTGGGAACACGCCTGAGAACCAACAAGATTATTTCAACACGTTTTACTAGGTTTTCATTTTTTGGCTTAGAAACTGCCATGCAATTTATAGCTTTCTAAGAGCCTTGGAATATAACTATTCCCTGATCATGTTTTCATGAATTCCTTGTCCTTCAGTTTACATAAAAGCAGTTCATACAATCAAACTGTGTCTCTACGTCTCTATTACAGCCTCATAAATATTTTTAAATAAAAACCCTCTTCAAAATAAAATTGAAAATATACTTAAAATGTTCAATTTCAGTCTTGGTTGAATAAAGTGATTGCACTTTTTTATCAATATACAGGAAGATTTTCACCTGAATATGGCTGAAACTTCTCAATTCTAAATTTCCTTTTGATGTGATATTAATTTCTAGCTACCTCTTTCACTTGTAGGTATTTCCCTAATCAACAAATATACAAATTACCAGGCAAATGAGAGAAAATATCATATATTGTTGCAATTACATCGAGGTAATTTTATTGTTAAGAAATTGGACATCAAAACCAGTTCCTTGTTGGTTAGAGTATCAGGGGATTGACACGTAATTTGAGTGTTTATTTAAAACAGCAATGAACTGCACAGACAGACTAATAGCAGAATCATTTATTTATAGAGAGTCTGTATATGCCTGATTGTATTTTATCCGTATCATTTATGATCCTACTCAACAACTTTTAAAACTAATATTGCCATATTTACTTTCACGATAAAAGAAATGAGTTCACATAATCTGGATAGCTTTGATCCAATCCCATAGATTGTAAGTGATTTGGGCACTATTCAAAATCATGACTGAAATATTCTAAAGCTCACGTATTTTTAAAATATCGTTCTACCTCTGATTGTGTACTTCTTAGAGCCATTTAATCCATCCCCAGTAAAAATAGATATCTTTCAATTTATTCACTGGTTTTTTTATTAGTATCATCTATACCAAGAAAGAATGGATTTATCTCAATCTACTGTGAATCTCTTTATAAAAAGGATATTCTCATCAGTAGTGCAAGTGTGTTGCTGCTACTTTAATCATGGAATTCAAGAGCCAGGCCATACTGTTTGTATAGGCCCAGAAACACACATATATGAAGGCTGAATAAAGGAAATGCTAGTTTATGAATCAGGAAATGCAAGGATATACTTTCAGTATAGTATCCAATTCACAGCCTGAGCTTTGAGCCTATAGCTCCATAGGTTTGCTCTAAACAAAACAAGGATTAAGAAAGGGAGAAAGTTTTGGTTTCTCACTTTCAGGAATGTCTTGTCTTTGATGTTGGAA
This sequence comes from Homo sapiens, assembly GCF_000001405.40. Taxonomy (NCBI): domain Eukaryota; kingdom Metazoa; phylum Chordata; class Mammalia; order Primates; family Hominidae; genus Homo; species Homo sapiens. Next base: position 83,548,283 of record NC_000002.12, on the reverse strand, counting down.
GTGTAGAGTTACCAATGTAGAGTTTGTTGTAAGTTCCCAGATTGTAGCATTCTAATATTCTTGCTGGCCTGCCACCTCACATTGGCCTACAACCATTTGTGATTTAAGGCACTCCTAATATGAAAAGTCAAGTTTATCTTTGTTCAGATAAATAAAGGTGACACACACACACTATAGTATATAGTATATATGTACACACACACACACACTATATATATATATATATATGCACACACACAGTACATAGTATATATGTATTCACACACTACCTCACTACCTGGCCCACATTTACTCATTTATTTCATCAATGAATAATATTATTTATTGGGCTTCTAACATATTCTGGGTCCCATTATGGTCCAGACAATAAAGAAGATAAATATAATACAGGCACTTCCTTCAAGATAGTTATAATTTATCATATAAAAAGACACATAAGCAAATGATTATAATAAATTCCAGTATGGAAAGTTTAATTCAGGGTTTTCTAAAAGTATTGAAGCAGCTCTAAACTTTAGCAACTTCAGAAATATAAAAATAAAAACTTACCAAAATTTGAAAGTTCTCAGCATCAGTCTTTGGACAGCCAAAGTTTTCCTCTGGAGACTTTACTGTTTATTGCATGATAGCCTTTTAAGCAGTCAGCACTGAACCATCATTTGTCTGACCTTTAAGAACCGTTTACAACAAAGCCTCCCTCCACATGAAAAAAAAAAGTATTGATAAGATAGATAATCCTACCTGATTTCTGCTGTAGGCTTAATCATTTTTTCTATTTTAGTGAAAGAATATTTCAAATTAGTCAAGTGCCTTTAAGATCATGTTACCTCTCATAACTTTATATTGCTGTGATGGGTCAATCTCTTTTAATCACAGACCTCATACCCACACTGAGAAATTTGATAAGACAGGATAAGTAATGAAGGTCCACATATAATTCTATACTTGCTATATGCTAGCTGTCATGTGGAGAAGGCATGTCAACCCATTTATATTTATTATTGACCTATTTTGATAAAATGGCAGAGAAAGTTGAATATTTTATCACTACCTCTAAATACTGTAGAGTAATTGTTAATGTGTATAGGTTATATTCCAAGAAAAGCAATCATTATAATAAAAGCTTCAGAAATGTTGCATTAGAAATAAATCTGAATTACTGTTTCCAGTAATGGCTGAGTATTTCATATCAGATCAACCATCTTTCCCAAAACAATTAAAAATACTAGTCAAAATACTTTTAAAATATCTAAAGTCACTAGAGAGTTGCCAGATGCAGGCAAAATCTAGAAAAGTGGCAACACTGGAAGTTTCCTGCTTTTATGGCTTTTTGTCTGAGTCATGGGTCAGGTTTTCCATTTTATGACTTTTCATCTAGGTGCAGTTCCCAGATGTTGCTTCTATGGCTGGCTATAATGAAGGAAAAGAAAATATATTCTTATTGCTTGAGAAATGAGAGGATAGCGTTCCTGGTGACCACGGCAGCTTGAAAGTGAGACATAAACACTGTCCAGTGATCTGGTAACCTATGCCGTACAAATGTGTGTAACAAACTCCAGAAAACCCAGCTAAATGGAAAAGAACTGAACAAAGAGTTCGGCTTCTGCCTGCTACAAGGGAGAAAGAGCTTAGACTTTGAGTTTAACTCGGATAACTCCCTGCTCAAAAGACACAAAACGTATCTGTACTCTATGGAGCATAACAGAATCTAGACAGAGCACAGATTCAATGACTTAACCAAATATTTATGCAAAGTCTGTTATTAATCATAGTGGTGTCTATCATGTGTAAGCTTTGGCCTTTGAAAAATAAAATACCAATAGTAAACTTATATTACATCCTTCATGAATTACAACTCTTGAACCTATTTGCTATTACCGTAATAATACTGATAAGGAAACTGGGGCTCGGTAAAGTTATGTAAGTAACCCTGAACCATTTATGGTTAACGTGTGATGGAACCTCTATCCTTAGATTCTAGTTCTGATACTCAAAAATGGAAATTCAGCACTTCAAGTAATCTTACATAAGAAAGTAACTGCTGACAGAATTTCCTGAGTTTATGCATCTCAAATGTTATTATTCATGGAACCTTTTGCCAGTGGAAAATCTCTAAATATCACTCATCTTCTTGTCATTAGAAAAAGGAAAAATGTCAAAAGGAATGATATGGTGAAAAGATATTTCTGAAGATTTATCAATACTAAGGATTTTTGCATGTTTGAACTAAATGGTAAATTCATAATAGAGTAAGAAAAATAATCCTTATTACATATATTATATATTTTTTCCATAAAAGAAAAAGAATCCTTATTACATATATTATATGTATTTTCCAAGCCAAGGGCCACCTTTGGACACTTGAGCCTTGTTAACCACTAACCCTAGGCAACTCTTATTTTTATTTTGTATTCTTGTACTTCTAGATACCTTTGGAGCCATCCTATTTTGTTGATTCTACTTTTACAATTCTATTTCATCCAGATATGTTGACTAAGACCAATTTTTATGAAACTAGGAAGCCTGAAGCAGAAGGTATTAAAGTAGAATGGCCTCACATTCGAGGACAGGACATCACTTTATTCAGCAGTCATAGGATGCTCTATGCTAGGGCTGATATCCTGGTACTTATTTCATTTCTGAGCCTTGTCCTTACCTTTGCATGCTAGTTGGGATGTCTGTTTTATCTTACCCATTTCTCAGAATTAAAGATACACTGACCTGTCTAAGAACATATAAGTTCAACAGCCACTGGGAATTTTCTCAATAATTCAAGTTTGTTTTTCAATCTCTTTTTCCCAATGGCTGATACACCTTATAGGATGACAGTCATTCCCAGGACCTGCTTCTGTGCTCATTATCCACAGCTGTGCTCAGCCCACATTGGAACATCCTTAAATAAATCCAGGTCTAACTATCAGAATTATAGCTTATATGGCCAGCTTTTTTTCAGATGTTAACACATTCTTTGATAGTCAACCTGAGCCTTCTGTTTCTAATCCTTTATCTGGATTTCTCTGCAGCTCCTGTGTTGACCCATGTATTAATACATGACTTGCTAGTTACTGACCTCCCATTGTATAATTTCAAAATTATAAAAAATAATTTCCTAGAATTGAGATAGTACATATATCTTCATATTAAAAACACACAGATTGTTGGACAGGGAAATTTTTTAAAAAATCAAATGCATTCTCAGGAAATTTTAGAATACAGAATTTAAAAATATAAAATTAGTAGAAAATTCTCCAGTGAAGAAAACCTAGGTTACTTACAACCAAACACGTATCATATTTTTCACCAGGAATATTGAATTCAAAAAGGCAATGGGACATCATCTCCAAAGGTCTGTGAGAGACTGACTTTGAATGAAGACCTCTCTACCAAATCAAACTATTCATAAAGTATGAGAGTAAAATAAAGATATTTTCATACTTCTGGGGTCTCAGAAATTCTTTAGAAATTACTAAATCAAAACAAAAATAAAACCAAGACAGGGGAAGATAGAATACATGAAAGAATCATATTAAAACAGGGATGCGATAGAAGAATTTCTGAAATGACAACTGTTTGAAAGACTTAGAAAATAAGCTTATACTTTACCATTCAATACTCAATATAATTGAAAAGCTAGATGAAGATCTTACATTAAGAAGACATTTAATTTTTTTCTGTAGAAAATTAAAGACACCTTTAATATTTAAATTTAAGCTTTTACTATAAAAGCTGTGAGTAAGATTAATGATACAATATATAGTGTACAATATATAGTAGAATTGATTGTGTATGATTTTTGAGTAGGATTTTTGAGTTGATGCGTTATAGAAAAATAATGACAAATATTTGTTCTCAAAATGTCACAGATTAAGATATTTGCATTCTTACTGCATAGTTCTAATAACCCCATGTGAGTCTAAATGATACTTATGTAATCATACATTTGAACTTATTATTATTGTTTTAGAATTAATCTATAGGCAAAACAAAGAAGAATTAGAGTTGCATAAACTGATGATGTTAAAGTAATGTGAAGTTGAGAATCATAAAAGAAGGTTGAAATCATAGGTAGTGGAGGGAACCTAACCCACTCTTCTTAAATGAGTGCTGTAATTCTTATAACATACATGTATATTTATATGTATTATTTATGGCTATATATGTACACAGTGGAATAATTAAAACTATAACCAACAAAATGGTCTATGCTGAGTCAATAGATATTTTGGTGAAATAAATAAACTCAAGAAATTAGAGAGCATAATATTTGGAATTCTACTCTTAGACAACAGAAAAACTAATACAAGAAATTGTTAGAGGTGTTCATCTCTTCGGTGTAGGACAGAGGGTGGCTGTGAGGGCAGATATCTTTTCTGTTCATGTAAATTGGTAAATGCATATATATTTGAATGTATCAATTAATTAAATAAATTATTAGTAAATAGACAACTTTCAGGGAATCTCTTCCAACTCCCAGGCCTCTGAATTTGTGGAAGCAGAGAGTAGTTCCAATTGCAGAATTTCTGTGCCTCTTATATCATAGAGGGTTCTCTCAGAACTGACCTAGATTTGAAGTTTGCTTATGCTACTTATTGGTTATATGGCCTTTCTCAAATCGTTTTACATGAGAGGTCAGTCATCAGTCTGTAGAATGAGTCTTATAACACTGACCTTATTGAGCAACTACCAGCATTAAATGAGATAAAAGAGATGAAAGGTGTAGCACAATGCTGGGCAAATAGTAAGCACTCAACAAGTATGTTTAGGTTGTTATGATGATCAAAAGGTATGATAAGATATCACGACAATTAAATTTATTCTAATTTTTTAAAAAATCACACAAGAAAATGGAGATTTGAACAAATACTTGCAGGCCAATGTTTATCTCAACATTATTCACAGTAGGCAAAAGGTGAAAACATCCTAAGTGTTCATCAACGGATGATTGAATAAACAAAATGTAGTATATATGTATAATAGAATATTATTCAGCCATAAAAAGAAATGATATCCTAACACAAGGATGATATTTTAAAACATTATGTTAAGTAAAATAAGTAAGATAGTAAAGGATGAATATTGTATGATATCACTTTTGTAATTTATCTAGAATAGGCAAATCCAAAGAGACAGAAAGTACATTAGAAGTTACTAAGGGCTGAGAGTTTATTGCTTGATGGTTACAGAGTTTCTGTTAGAGTACATGAAACATTTTGGAAATAGAGGTGATGGTTGCATAACATAAGGTAGTTAATGCCACTGAATTGTACCCTTATAAATGTTAAAATGGCAATTTTGTTATATATATGTATATATGTGCATGTATATAGATATACAGTTTTTGTTTTATATATGTATATATAAAACAAAATACATACGTATATACACATACACACACATATATAAACACAAGTTAAAAATAATAATGAAACGTACTGAAAATTATTGAATAATACATTTTAAAAGGTGAATTGTACAGTATGTTGTATCAGGAGTGATATTTAAAATATGTAACAGTGGTAATCCTGAAAGACCAGCGAGTCAGAAGGGATGCTGGCCCCCTCGCTGTGCTAGTGCAGCAGTTCAGGATCAGCCTTGATCTTTTGCTTCGGGTTCCTCCAGGAAAATAATCGGAAGTAGTTTAAGTCAGTCTTACTTATTCTAAGTGACTGAGTTTTAAGAACTTTTTATTTAACTATAACACACATATAAAATAATTTATATTTTCTAGGTTTAGAGATTCTCAAGCTATAAGACTAAATCTGGCCAATCTACAAATTTATATGGCCCACAAATAAAACCATGTTTTCTATTTTTACATGATTACATGTTAAATAGTTATGTAAATATCTACGTAATATCCTTGATTTTACCTCTTGGTCCACAAACCCTAAAATATTTATTACTTGTTCTTTCAGGGAGGATTTGTCATCCCCTGGTTCAGAGACTAGCTGCATTTTAAAAGAGAAAATCAGAAAAGAAAATAATCCTTGAAAGCAATAATAACAAAGCTATTTTATGCTACCAATCACATAGCATTATACACATTGAATATGAGGAATAAATTTAGCAAAATATATAACATCTTGGCATAGAAATTCACACAGTATTATTTTTATTTTCATCATAATTCTAATTTCAGATGCATACCAATGAATGAATGTCTTTAGGAACAGGATGGCATCTTCATGACACTTCAGATGGGACCCTCTCTCTTCAGAATATGTTCATAATGAGCTCTCAATGAGCTCGGCATGGAAATAAGTTATCAAATTGCCTTGAACACAGGGAAGGGGTATGCTGCTGTAACACTTTTAGAGTGTCAATATGCAAAAAAAAATTATATATATATATATATATATATATATATATAGCCCAGCTTCACCTGAAAGCAGAGCCTGATACTAGGTTTGCATGCAATTCTAAATAACAGGAGAGCAAGACAAGGCTAGGATTAAGTTATGAAAGGACATAGAAACATTTGAGGCTATGTCAAAGCCACTTACTAAAGCATCCACTTGCTAAGAGCTAATTGCTAGATCTCTTGAAGTCTCTGGACCATCTACTAAGAAACTATTCAGAATTGCATTTTGCATGGAGGTGACAAGGGAGACAAATTAATTCTCATCAACTATAGCCAAAGTTTCCTTCCACAGAATGATAAATAAAAGTCTTTCTGGAAATCTTTTCTCTGCTGTGAGGCTGGCTTAAGGTCAATAGAGCAGCCTCAGCAAGGTAATCAAGATGTACGAGATGTGAGGCAGGAGGCAGGGACCTCAGGAGATGTTCTCTCAGCTTGATTTGCTGGCTTGAAGTTTGGCAATGTCCATGCAGAGCTGGTAATCACAGCAGCCACAGATGAAAATGAGACAGGTATTGATGAGAGGATTCAAACCAACATGTAAGAAGTGACTGATACAATAAATTACAAAAATAAGTATTTGAATAATTAAAATTCTTTTCAAATTCTCCCATACTTTCAGAATAATAATAAGTAAATCCTAGGATATCTAAACTAGGATATAAAATTAAACAGAATATAAAATTAGTAAGTACTTAATATGCAAAAAATGATTGAGAAACCTCAAATATTTGTATTGATCCAGTAAGTTATTTTAATTAGTGTTTTAGTTCCAATTACTTTCTTCATTTTTTTTAAATGTTTGATGTAAGGTTATATTGAAACATGTGGTGTATTTGGGGGTTTTAAATGACCTGAGTTGCTTCTCCATGTGAAGACAGAGAAGTGAGTCTCATCTTTTCACAAGTTGGAAAAGAACAAATAGCAATTTTGGCTGGTTATGTGATGGATGAACTGCATCCTCCCTGAGTCTGTGGTATCACTCTCTTCCATTTGTTTCTGCAGTGTGTTTGATTGCCACTTCAATGCCCTCAACTCTATTTGGTACCATGCTTTGTATTTGCTTTCTCTCAAGTGACTGCAGAAATGGAAGCAGGTGGTATTTCCAATTCCAACAACCACTGTTAAGCACTAACCTCAGGTTCAGATTGCAAATCTGCTACAGGTTGATATTTTTTTCTGGAAAATGGCATGTAACTCCTTCTGCTGCATTTTAAATTGCTGAAAGCTTATTTTATATTTTCTTCTTGCTGTAAAAAAATAGTTTATAAACAAATTAATTGAAGCTAACCTAAATGGCATTTATCTTATTGAGAATATCTATAAAATATCCTTAATCAAATAAATATCACTCCTGATATACTGTACAATTCATCGTTTTAAAATATAATATTCAATGATTTTTGGTATGTTGCATTATTATTTTTTATCTTGTGTTTATACATGTGTGTGTATATACCACATATGTGCATATGTATTCTGTTTTATATATACTTATATAAAACAAAAAGCTGTATAAATATATACGCATATATAAAACCAAATTGCCATTTTAACCATTTTAACCATTTATGAGTGTACAATTCAGTGGTATTAACTACCTTTATATCATGCAACCCCTAACAAATGTTTTCTGCAAAAAAAAAAAAAAAAAAGGATTGACATTAAAGAATTCTAAAACAGAACTACGGTATCTGTGTATTTTTGCATGAAATTTCACAAAGCTTGATCACTGTTCAAGGAAAGAAAAACTTCTGAGAGAATCAATTCTATTATGTTGAAAGTTATTGCAAATTAAGTATATAACTTTTATGCAGAACTTAGTATAAGCAGACACTGTGTTAAGAAATGTATAAACCTTGTTTCATTTTATCATCATTTCACCAATCCAGTAGGGATGCTATTATTATCTCCATGTAGATGACTACTCTCAACAAGGGGGTTTAGAAATTTTCCCTGAAGACAATAAGTAAACAGTGCAGCCAGATGCAAAAAAATGGGAGGCCCAGTACACTCTTCTCTAAGAAGAACCCTGTTACAAAACTTGTACTGTGTTCTCAAAAGTGCCCTCATTCCTTAAAAACACAACTTGGATGTATCAGTTTGCTAAGGCTACCACAGACTTGGTGGCTTAAACAAGAGCAATTAATTTTCTCATAGTTCTAGAGACAGGAAGTCCAAGATCTAAGTGCCAGAAGGACTCTTTTCTTCTGAGTCCTATTTCCTTGGATTGCAGATGGCATCCTTTCACTGCCTTTCCATGTGGTTGCCCCACTGTGTATCCAGTCCTGGTGGGTTTCTTACAAGGACATCAGTTACGGGGTGATGTCCACATAACATGATATATATAAGAATATATATATATATACAGACACATATATATATATTACATATATATGTATATATTCAACTACTTGGCAGTTTGATTAAGGGCTCAGGCAATTCCATCTTGACATTTTACATATATATATGTAAAATATATATGTATATGTATATATATATGTAAAATATATATGTATATGTATATATATGTAAAATATATATGTATATGTATATATGTAAAATATATATGTATATGTATATACATATATATAAAATATATTTACATATATATGTATATATATTTTACATATATATATATGTAAAATGTCAAGATGGAATGGCCTGAGCCCTTAATCAAACTGCCAAGTAGTTGAATTAACCCATCAACATAGCCCTGTCTTTGCATGTCTTATATATTACATGAGATGTAAGACCTTTATGGCTTTAGCCCATAAGGGCTATTTTTAACCCAATCATCTATACTGGGTATTCCGTGATGTGCAATGAAAAACATCCTACATGACACAGAAGACTGGAAAATAAAGACAGGGATTCTGCCAAGAAGTTTGTTTTTGTCTAGGTGAAGGAATTGAGAGAACCAAGATGAGACCACGGATAAGTAAACTTGAGACTTTTTCTTTTTCTTTTCTTCTCTTTTCTCCCTTCTTTTCTAGTCCCTCCTACTTCTTCTTTCCTTCTTTTTTTCCTCCCTCTGCCCCTTCCTTCTTTTTTCCCTAGAGAGAAAAGAATGGAGGCAAGTAAAAGAGATAATAAGAGAAAAGAGATAAAAAGAGACAATGGTGCCACATGCTGAAGTAGTAATAGAGGATACGAAACACTAGTGGAGGAGATAGGATGATGCTGGAGGAGAGAGATGGTCTAATCCTTGAGAAGTTTTGTGGGGGTGTCTAGATCTCTCAGTCTAGAGCACAGATGGAGAGCTTACATAAGACAAAGGATGTTCATTTATTGCAATGACAGAAAGAGGAACTGAGGGGCTTAGAATCTGATAGTTTTATGCATCTGGAAGTTGAAATTGATGATAATTTCAATCTGATTATTTGTTTACCCTGTTAAGCATGAAGTAAAGTTAATGGTTATAACTGATGAATGAGCAGAGAAACTGTAGAGATGAGCAAGGAAGGAGAAGGAATCTGAAAGTCATGCTGACTTTAGAGGTGATTGCTTACTGAAGGCTGTTGTTCTAACTGTAGCTTGGAATGGGGTTCGGCAAGTTGACTTGAAGGGCCGGTGAAACAGGAGTTTATTTTCTCCTGGGTCTGTAGGGATGAGTAACAGACCCAGGGAAACTTGGAGTATCAATGCCAGCAGGTCTGTCACGAGTTTGTATTGTTATTTGTTTACTTTTTAATTATTTTCTTGTTTGCTGAAAAATGACATTCAGAAGATATCTCAGGAAATAAAATGAGTGCATGCTCTATGGAATTTAGAGTAAAAAATGTACAGAATAAAGAGAAAATTATACAGGATGAAAATTAAAGATGTGGTGAATAAAGATGGTATATAGCATAAGATTCTTTTTTTTTTTTTTTTTTTTTTTTTTTTTTTTTTTTTTTTGAGATGGAGTCTCTCTCTGTAGCTAGGCTGGAGTGCAGTGGCGCAATCTCGGCTCACTGCAACCTCTGCCTCCCGGGTTCAAGCGATTCTCCTGTCTCAGCCTCCCAAGTAGCTGGGATTACAGACGCGTGCCACCACACCCAGCTAATTTTTGTATTTTTAGTAGACACGGGGTTTCTCCATGTTGGCCAGGCTGGTCTCGATCTCTTGACCTTGTGATCCACTCACCTCGGCCTCCCAAAGTGCCGGGATTACAGGCGTGAGCCTGTAGGCGTGCCTGGCCTAGATTAATTCTTAGGTAGATAACACATTAAATTTTCTTAAAACAGAGATTACAGTCTCTCTGACTCATAAAGAATGACACTTCGCTGTTTACACCTGATACCTCAGAAGGTTGGATTATTTGAAGTGAGGCCTTCCTTTATCACAAATGGAGGTTCTTTAATTTTATATATTAAGTAAAGACAGTTAACTATAGGATAAGGAAAGGTTTTCTGTTTGGGGTTTTGGATCTTAAAAAGTAGAATAAAGGTATTTTGAACAAGAGTTTTTACAATGGGATTCAAAGAGCAAAAGCAGAGCCTTTGATAGGTGTTTGGTCTTTTTTTTCTGTTCTGAACAGATGTGGGACTATATGTGGGTAGTGTTCAGTGTTCGTATAAAAATGAACAACAATTACAAAGAGCAAAATCTGAATATAATTTTTTATGTGAAGTTAAGCAAATCTGTCCATAGATTTAGCAATGAGAATTATGTCAAGAGACTATGTATCTGAATTGGCTCCAAACACGTAAAAAGAGAGGAAAGATATCAATTATGGTACATGGCATAGGTAGACAACTTCCCAATATGTGATAAAATAAAAATTTCAGAGATTTAGTTCATTCAGTAGACAATTTACCATGTGTATGATATTCAAAGATAAAAAAATCAGATAAAGCAATATTTTTGAAAAAAATAACTTTGATGTGAAAAACCATATCATGCTATTTATTTTGAATGACAAAGACACACAGCAAGTTTGACATTTATTCTGATTTTTCCACAGGATTTGAAAAAAAAACAGTATTTATGAAAAGGTAGCAACCAGTCATAAAATATGGTGCTTCTAGAATGACCTAGAGAGAAAACATCACAGCTTGCTGGTGAAAACCACACAGGCCCTGGGAGGCCTGAGAATATCTACATGTCAGAACATGTGAAGATAGTAATGATTTTTCTCTCTGACATTCCTGACCTTACTGTGGAATCCCAGCCCACAAGGTTGGTCAGAAAAAAATAACTTAATGCAGACGTTTTGAAGACAATATTTACGACTGGTTGATTGACTTCTTTTACATGCAAACACTCTCATGCACTTTTGACTCCTAATAGACCTTTCCTTTTGTTAACCAAACTGCTGTTCCCAGTTAATAGCTGCTTATTGGCTATATTTGCCTATAAATGCTTGTTTGTCCTTTCTAGAAAATAAGATCAACTTTCAAATGATAACAGTAACATAAGTGAACATAATGCAGTCCCTCCTAAGAAAATAAGCTAAAACAATCCCATAGATTATCCACAAATTGAATGAGGGAAGTGATTTGCTTGAATTAACGTATTGCCTTTTAAGATGAGCACCTGAGGATGTAAGGGATTTAAATTTATTAAAAGTTATGGTATGTATGTTAAACCAATATGGTCTTAGTGATTTATAGCTACAACTTATAACCATTGTATAGGAGGAGATTCTGATAAACAAACTCTCTTGTGATATTCAACATACTATTTTTTCCTCACTAAAATTAATAAAGATTTTATTTCAAATAGAATAAATAATGATGAATCAAAAATAGAGACTTGTGTATGTATGCCTCAACTACAAAATAATCTTTTTTTACATGTGTGGGGACATTTGCTTTATTTCGCTTTCTCCCCTGCAACTTTAAGCTCCTACTTTGACTGGTGGATCACAATTACATTTTAGTTTCCTAAAAATTAGCATCATTTCAAAGCCACGGTCTAGTAAGCCATAAACAGTCTGCATATTTACCTTTCTATCATGATGGAAAACAGCCATATGATCCTTTGGGAAATCTTGGAGGAATATTTACCATGTACACTTTTGTCTGTGGTGTTTCCTCAGAGGGTCTTCTGTTTAATCAAGGTGCTCCAGTCAAAACATGGGCTTCAGTCAGAAAGCTGGGGGAGAAGCCATAGCTGCCCTTTATGTTGATTCGGGTCAGGTTTCTAGAGAATGGACCTAGAGTTTTCTCTTTTATGTAGATGAAGTGATATTTTAGCGGGTGTGTCAGAGGTTCTCAAGACCTCCCTCAGGCTCAATGATTCACTGAAAGGATGCACAGGACTCCCAAAAGCTGTTATATTCATGGTTATGGTTTGTTACAGAGAAAAGACAAAGATCAAAAAGAGCAATCTGAAGCCATGGAGAGGGTGAAGTCTAGGAGAAACCAAGAGCAAGTTCCAGGTGTTTCCTTCTCAGTGGAGTCTCAAAGGGGGTGCTTAGTTTTCCCAGCAATAATGTGTGACAGCATGTGTAAAGTGTTGCCAACCAGGGGACCTCACCGGATCCTTAGTGTTCTGGGGTTTTACTGGGGCAAGTCACATGGATATACAGCTCCCACATAACTGACCTCAGCTGCTCAAACTTCACCCTTACCCTCAGAGCAAACATAGGCATTTGCCATAAATCATATTGTTAGAATAAACTCATTTGTTCCAATCCGTACAACAAGACCCAAGGCTTCAGGCATACAAAAACACTCTTGTCAGGCAGAATATTCCAAGGGCTCAGAGATTATCTCCCAGGAACCAGTCAAGGACCAATCCTAAAATAGGCCTTGTTTGGAATGTGCAGTGTTTGAGCAACTGAGGTCTGCTGAGTTAACCTTTTTTGCCCAGTAGATAGTTCATGTGTTTTAGTTTTAGGAACACCATGATCAATTAAGCATTGCAAAGAACTATGTAGGTCAAAATATCCTCACTCTTGCAGCCTATTAAAGTAATCAAACCCACCTGATCTGGACCTTCAGTGCTGGCAATTAGCCCCTGTTACTCTAGCATCTCATTAATAGAAGGACTAAAAAGTGGTTGGAGTGGGTCCTGAGAAGATAGAAATCCCTTTGTAATCCAGCTTACTTTAATGATGTTATTACATGGTCATTAAATTAGGATGTCCTCAGATTTGAGGGTACAAGCTGCTATGCTGGGAATGATATCTCAGAGAGAGTTATGGATTCAAGATTCCCAACTTTGAATACACACAGATGTCTCTATTCTAAGTGTTTTTGAATCTCACTCTTTGCTAAAATATGCCCTTATTTTTACATAAGAAGCATGGCAAAGTAGTGAATTCAACTTCCATTGCAATTCTACAACCAGCAAAATTATCTTTAGGCATGATTCTCATTTAGATTTGGCCTGCATCTTTTTGCGACTGCTTCTTACAACCATTTCTGGTGCCAAGTTTGTATCAACTCATATAGTAAACACTGTTTTTGCAAATTCCTGTACCTTCACATCCTACTATCGTAGTATATGGTGAGTTCAGCTGCCATTTGTTTGAGGGATTTCTCTGGAGGCTAGAAATCTTTCTGCCTACCAGCACAGCTGGCCAGAAAGGTTGCAAAATTAATGCTCCTTTGCAATATCCACCAACTGATGACTGATAAGAATTAGGGTATAAATATCTCACCTTACTTGTCCATTAGCTGAGATGATGCTGAAGTATGTGTTCCACACTGATTTCCAGAGTTCTCCAGGCAGATTTAGCTCCCAGGGTCCTAACTGTCTTGACAAGTCACCGTTTATTGGCTGTTCCTCTTCCTTGGCCAACTTTCTCACAATCCTATTAGTGTTTCTTGAAATCGCCTCTTGTGTCCCCTATTGGCATAAGCAACAGGAAGAAAATAGGCAAACATGAAATGTAGTTTGAATAATTTTCCCCTTCTTAGGCAAGGAAATTATTTCATTTAATTTACACTGTTGACGTAACAAAAATCTTTGAAGCCATGGTCCCTAGCTGTTTTACTTTCCTACTGAAGGAATTAGACAATAAGCTTGGATGACAAGACTGGGCCATGAGTTTGATTGTACAGGCTGTGTTTTAATTCACTGCAGAAATAAAACAAAAATGGCAAAGTATGTGTCCCCAGAGCACTTTGATAATGTAGCCAGTCTTTGAGAAATGTAAAAGAATTTTTAGAGAAGAAACAAAGATTTTTAAATATCTTAAAAAGCATTTGCATGTGATTTAAATTTAACACTTTGCCTGTCTAAAACACTATTTTACTAAGATATGCAGCTGTTAAATCATATAATTTTAATTCAGATCCATTAACTAAATTTATCTTTTCTATGTATAATTTTCCAAGGAAAATTATGTTTTATGTAGTCAAGTACTTACAATAACTTTATTTAATCAAAAGAAATACTTTTCTAAGAAGAATGCAATTGACCTGGCTTAATTACAGAATTAATTGTGATTACCCACAAAACTACTTATACATGCACAAACACACAGGCACAGTACACATATAAATTAAATAAATGCTTATTGTTAATACGTATGGTGCAAATTATTAATATAGAAATGGTTCTTTCCCAATTGCTAAACACAACTGATTTCTTAATACAGTTTCCAAATCAAGGTATCTATAAACATCCCATAGCTACAGAATTCGGGTATCTGGGCTGCAATAGTTGGGCAACCACAAAGTTAGGAACAGGGCCCACATAATGTACCTTCCCTTATAACACCAACTACAAGTTCAGGAAATTACCCAAATGACCCTTGGTTTTGATAATTCACTAGCAGAACTCACAGAACTCAATGAAATTTGTTTTATTCACAGCTATGGTTTATCACAGAGAAAGGATACAGATTAAAATCAGCCAAGGGAAGAGACACATGGGTACAGCCCAGAAGTGATGCAACATGGAGCATTCAGATGTTCTCTCCCCATGGAATTATAGACAGCATTAATTATTGCCAACAATAATGTGTGAGAACATACATAGGATATTGTCAATCAGGGAAGTTCAGCTGAACCTTGGTGGCAGGCATCTTTATTGGTGCTCCATCATTTAGGCATGGTTGATTGTCCATCAGCTGATCTCTTTTTCCAGCCTCTCAGGAGATCAAGCTAACACCTTGTAACTCAAACCACATTCATGGTATGGTTTTTAGTCCCATCCTAAATCACATTATTAGGCTCACAGACAAAGAAAGGATCTTATCATGTATGACATTCCAAGGACTTAGATGTTACCTCCAAGAAGTCAAGGGCAAAGGCCAGACCTCTTTTTGGGCAAAGTTAAATTCTTTACTACACATAGGAGTTTGATATTGGATTGTAAACACTCCCAAGTGATTTCATGTAGCTTGTGTAACACTGGTTTATAAAGCAAGATTTTGAAATCACTGCTTTAAATTACACATCTCTGCCCTACCACAAGCTAGTCTTCAGTATAATTTGCTGAAGAAAATAATATTTGATTCCATACAATTAAATCTGAAAACTGACCCTTTCAGTCTTCTCATGAATTCTTAATTACAAACATTTAAATTAATGATGTGTTGAAACTTTAAAAAAAAATCAGAGAAAAAGTAGAAAATAGAGAAAATGTACAACATGTACATTTAAAAAGGAAATATCATTAATCAAGCCATCTGCTATATTGTCTTATACATAGTAGTTATTTAAAAATTCATATAGCTCATTGGTTTTCAAAATGAGAGGAATAATTAAAATTTAGTTTAGATAATAGTGTTTTTATTTTAAAGGAAAACCTGTGATAGAACTAGTGATCTTAGAAATTATCTTATGCAATGGCAAAGTGATTAAATTAGAATCTGGATAAGTTAGCATATGAAATGACTTACCTAAAATCACATTTTGAATTGGGATTGCACTTAATAGAAGCCTGACTCTACTAGCTTAACCAAAATAAGACTGATTTTCCTCACAGGTGAAGAACTCCAGTGGTAGAGCCCATGCTTTGGGTGAGGGTTTAAAGAAGCCAGTAAGGACTCAGCCCTTCTACCTTTCTGTTACATTATCCTTAGCATGTGGCTTTTTCACCAATGCTTTTGTGATGGCTTCTTCTCTTAGATACATCATACTCAAATTCCAGCCAACACAGAGTAGGCAAAAATAAATAAATAAAAGAAAACACAAAAAACGAAAGACTGAGTCTGACCCTTCCCAGTATAATTTGACTTAAATTGAGTTGCACAAAACTGTGTGCTCTTATCCTCAGACAAGGGAGAAGGAAGTATTGTAACTGGGCACATAAAAAAAATAGTAGAATCTCCAAAAGCTAGGGTTCTGCTAGTTACAGAAAGGAGAGAGTGGATATTGCATATCTTAATGTTTGTCACGTTTCTTTGACGAATAATTATTAAGCATCCCTTTGTCCTAGGCTCAGATTATAAGGTGTTGAAATAAAACAACATAGTGTTGTGGGATTTAGAAGGATGAGAGAGATCTCGGGTTGAAACAGGAGAATCTTTATTGAGTGCACTCAGGCCCAGCTGACTCACATCCAAAACACTAGGCCCAGAACAAAGACAGTACTTGACTTTTATACACACTTCACAAAAGGGGGTGGGCTAGTTTGAAGCAAGCTTACAGTGGCGTGAAAGCAGGGATATAGAGGCAGGACAAAGACAGGATTGCACGTGACTGTTGCCAAGCAACCCAGATGTTCATTATCTAGGTTTGCCTGGGCATGGGCTTATCCTATAACTTTCACTATGGTGCCCAGGAAGCTGTAGTTCAGGCCTACTCAGGCTTCTTATGACCTTAATTGCACTTTGTAGATAAAACAGAATACTTGAAGTCACTAGTTATAGAGAACAGGAATCTATAAACTTATTCCATAAAACAAAGGAAAATTTGTTTTTCTTCTCCCTCTGTAGAGGGAGTGCTGGGAGAGTCTCCAGGGTACATTAGATAATATTATCAAGACTTTTCCTGGGTCTAGGCTGTGCCTGTTGCTGCCTCTAGGACAAGTCAGCCTAATACAGGAAAACTTACTTCTCTTTCTTTTAAACTTTATTTTTTTTAAATTTCCTGCCTCAATAACTCCTAATTCCCACCCTTACAAAATTTATGGTAATGAAAAAAATGTATGGTAAGCTAGTAAGTAACATACTCATACAATTGCAAATTTTGATAAATTGTTATATAAGAAGAAAAACAAATTGTACTGTACAGAATATGTGAGTGTGTATTAGTCTGCTCTCATGCTGCCATGAAGAAATACATGAGACTGGGTAATTTATAAAGAAAAGAGGTTTAATTGACTCACAATTCTACATGGTTGGGGAGGCCTCAGGAAACTTACAATCATGGCAGAAGGCACCTCTTCACAGGGTGTCAGGAGAGAGAATGAGTGCAAGCAGGGGAAATGCCAAACCTCTTATAAAACCATCAGATCTCATGAGAGTCACTCATTATCATGAGAACAGCATGGGGGAAACCACCCCCATGATTTAGTTACCTCCAACTGGTTCCAACCTTGACATGTGGGGATTATGGGGATTACAATTCAAGTTGAGATTTGGATGGGGACTCAGAGCCAAACCATATCAGAATGTTACGGAAGATGTGACCAACTTTTAATTGTGTAATCAGGAAAGAGTTTTTAAAACAATGACATTGCATCTGAGACTTGAGGAGAAGTGTCAGCTTTGTGGAAGGAAGGAAGACAGGCACAGGAGGTGGGAACAGAATGTGTGAAGGCACTGAGCTCTAAGGGGACAGATATATTTCAGAAAATGAGCATAGGAGAGTGTGGCTAGAAGATGACACATGAGAGAGAAAAGCTGTGAGAGAAAGGAAGCCAAAAGTTCCAGTTTCTGTTTACCCTGATTCTCCTATCCTCTTTAAAATACCTAAATTCTGAAATATCCAATAGCATGGAGGAAAAAAATGGTAATGCAGAAATACAGAGTATATGCTTTAGTTTCATAAAAAGGCCCTAAGATGCCTGTGGACTTAGGAAATCTGCAGAGATAAAAATTAACATCTTAGCACTATAAAGTAGAAAAGGTTTTCCCAATATTGAGAGGAAGAGAAAACCAAAATGAGAAAGAAGGAGAGAGATCAGTAGAGCTCAGGATGGCATAGTCATACACATAGAGATCTCATGGAGAGTAACATCTGGTGTTGGCAGCAGAGGACACTCATGGCCCCTAGTTGGCCATGAAGTGAACACTGTGACCCATACATAGAGCTATGGAAGAAGTAAATCAGCACTTGTAGTCTGCCCAAGCTCCATCTGAGCATCTGGCAGGGCCTATGCTCACCATCCTTATCCTTGTCATCCAACAGCTCTTCACTTCTCTTTAGTAAATGTCGCTCATTGATTACCAAGGAGCAATGGAC
This sequence comes from Homo sapiens, assembly GCF_000001405.40. Classification (NCBI taxonomy): domain Eukaryota; kingdom Metazoa; phylum Chordata; class Mammalia; order Primates; family Hominidae; genus Homo; species Homo sapiens. Next base: position 83,529,632 of record NC_000002.12, on the reverse strand, counting down.
GTCTACACCCTCTGGCTTTGCTCTGCCTAAAAGGTACTGGTCTTTGTACTGAGACACAGCCACTACAACATAATCTCTTTTCTTCTTCATGGTCCAGTGAGAGAGAAGAACCATAAGCCAATGGAAAAAAATAAAGAAAGAATAGAAATTATAAATTCTATGACTGCAACATACTCTCTTTAAAGCCTACTTTTATTCATTCAGTACATGATTATTTAGTGTTTGTTATGAATTAGGCCCTGAGCCAGCCATCCAGGAAGACACATCTCGAGCAGTTGTGTAGGATTTGTGGCATATCATTAAATTTCTTCACTTGTATCTTATTTCCTGTCAACTCTGCTGAAAACTGCCAGCATCTCTATTCCTTACTTTTAGCAGCTTCTTTAGCATTTAATACTTAGTCCTTTTGATCTTGCTTCTATATATTAGCCCATAACACCTCTACAAGTTACACATCTTCTCTTTTGGTATGGTCTGATATCCTGCCTTTTAATTCTGCTGTATCTCTGTCTGCAGGCCATGACAGTTTCTACTGGTTTGGGAAGACATTGTATAACACTACAGCTGATATTTATGCCATTCTGTGTAGTCTCAGACAGAGGATTTTGGCATAATGATCTCTTTAGTTACTTGTTATTCTTGTCACCACTTTATCAGCATCTGTCAGGCAAGGACACATGCCATCTCTGTTTTGTATGACATGATTGTCCTGGGTATCTAAGGGCGATACCACAATCCCCACAGGCAAGCACTTAACACTGATCATGAGTGGGTGCTGAGACCTGCTCATCAACCTTTCATGAATTACAAACATTTCAAGTTGGACTCACATCTTATTTTTAATATGTTTTCAAAATGCCTTGAGATCCTTCAGCATGATAAAATCCTATCGGAGTTAGAGTTGCTTTTGTTGCAATTCTGAGCAATGAAATGCGTTGAGACACCCTTGAGTGACTGTGATAACCATGGCATTTCTAAAGGAAATGCAGAAGCTTTTTATAATGCTGGCTTAGGGGCTATTCAGATCACAAATTCCACACATATATGTAGGTATATATATGTAAATGTATAGGTAAGATTAGATACCAAACAGTTATAAACAGAGATTTAAAAAATGTCTGATTTTATAAGATTGCATTTGATATAAATATAAGATTTCATTTTTATATAAATATATATTTAAATAGCATACTTTTTAAAATGAAATCTTATAAAATCAGACATTTTTAAAATCTCTATT